>NT_187643.1:0-170698 GCF_000001405.40 Homo sapiens
TCTACTCTCCCATGCTTGCCTCGGCAGCACATATACTAAAATTGGAACGATACAGAGAAAACTAGCATGGCCCCTGCGCAAGAATGACACGCAAATTCGTGAAGTGTTCCATATTTAAAAAAAAAAATCTACTTTCCTGGTAAATTTCAAGTATAGAGTACAGTATTGTCAACCATAGTGGCAAAGCTGTACAAGAGATCTTCAGACCCATTCCTCCTGAATACCTGATAGTTTGTATCCTTTGATCAACATCTCCCAATTCCCTCCCCCACACTGTCCCTGTAGTTCTAGTGAGTTTCCCAGACTCTGATGTCTCAATTTCATTCAGTCACTTTCCTCCAGATACATCTACCCATTCCTACTGCATCTTAGTATCCTGAGCCTTGGGGGCAGTTTCTGTGCCAAGTGGAAATGTGGAAATGAGATATTACGAAGAAAAATCTTTGCCCACCTAGACAGGGATCTGATGTTTTCCAAGATGACACATGATTACATGTTGAAATGATAATATTTTGAGTCTACTTGTATAATAAAATAATATTTTGGATCTATTAGGTTAATATTTTGGGTCTGTTGGGTTAATAATATTTTGGGTCCATTGGGTTAACTTAAATTAATTTTATCTGTTTCTTGTTAGCTTTTTAATTTGGATACTAGCAAGTTTGAAAGAATGCATGTGGTTTGCATTATGTTTCTATAGGACAGAACTTACCTGTAGATGTAAGGGAGTCACAACAAAATTACAAGCATTGTTTTTGGTGGAAATGAGAAAAATGATTACAAATTTACATGGAAAAGCAAATAGCCAATAATAATAATAATGGCAATCTTAAAGAGGAAGGAGAAATTAGAGGATTCAGGCTGCCAAATTTTAAGGGGTTCTATAAGGCCACATAAAGTGCAGCATCCTCATGAGAGTGGACACAGAGAGCCACTGAGCAGAAAAGAGTGTGTAAAATACATCTGTGTACACACAGTCCTTTTATAGTTGACAGAGGCTGCCATGCGGATTAAGGTGGAATAGAATGTCTTCTCAGTAAATAACATTGGACCAGAGGGTTACAAGCAGGAAAAAATAAATCTAAGCTTATTTTCACACCATAAAAACACTGCTAATTTTTTATCTTATTATCATACATTTTGATGATTTATTTATAAAATTGATGAATGAAAATTATATACAGTTGTCCTTCACTATTCATGGGTGATTGGTTCCAGGAAACCCCCCTCCCTACCAGACACCAAAATCTGCAGATGCTCAAGCCTGTTGCATGAAATGGCACAGCGTTTGCATATAACCCATGCACATCCTCCTGTATACATGAAATCATCTCTAGATTACTTATAATTCCTGATACAGCCTACACACCACCTCACTTGTGTCCACACAATATAGTATTTTTGCTTTTTGGAACTTTGTGGATTTTTTCTCTGAATATTTTTGATTTATATTTGGTTCAATAAACACCTGTAAACCCCACAGATATGGAGGAGCGACTGTATATTTATAGTATGAAAGATGATGTGTTGACATGTGTCCCTGTGGAGATGAGACTAACAAGGCCTATGACTCTACAAATGTTTCATCTTGGAATGACTCTGCCAGCTTTCCAGGTCTGCAGAGAGTAAGAATATCACTTGTTCATGTGATTCACGATCCTTGGAACCTCCTATGTGCTGCATCTTTGGATGGAAATTGGAGTCCCAGAGACAAATGAGGCTCCACCCTGCTTCCAGAAGCTCAGAGTCCAGGGCTGAGAACCCAGTAGAGAACATATCAGGTTATATGGACATAGTAATGATAACACTGGAAACTTTTGGCGAATAAAGAGTCACATTATCGAAACCATGAGGGCAGACATGTTTATTTGAAGAGGAGAGAGCTACACTGAAGTTATAAAAAAAATTTATAAATTTTACTGATGACAGAAGGCTGAAAGATAGTCTGAGGGGAGGTGGAACAGCATGAGGGAAGGTGGAACAGCAAGTGTGTAAGTGCCGTGTTAAGAGGGAGCCTCTTGTATGTTTGGAATTGTGAGTTCCTCAGTGTGATTGCAGCCTCAAGTAGGACTAGGAAGTAAGCCAGTTAGGTTGGAGAGGTGGGCAGGGGTCAAGTGAAATAGATACTTGTGGGCTAAGCAAAGGAGTGTGTTTTCTCTGCAGCAGGCAGTGGCGACCTTAGGCATTTGTAAGCAAGAGAGAGGCATGTTCAGATTCGTGGTGTGAGGAAGAGCGATCCCCTAAGATGCAGACTGATGCCTTCAGATTCCAGCTGCTGGTTCATTGGATCTGGCAACCTGGTTTTGAGACAGGGCTGTTGTCTCCCTAGAAAACCCCCTCAAGACCTGACTGTGGTGCTCGTGGGCAGGAGACAACTTTGGATCTGGGCTCAGCATTTGGAAGTTCCGTGTACACGCTGGTATCTGTTAGGGGTGTCTTGGGCCTCTGAGAAGGGCGACTGATTTTTCTCTGTATGAAAACGCAGTGATCCAACTGTGCGTACGTCACCTCCTGAGGGTCTTGTTCATCAGAGTCCTGGAGAGAGGGAAATGCTGAGTGAGGGAGGGTGCTCACATTTTTCAGGACTATTAGGGATAAGACTGTATCCGTGAGGCTGGGCCGAGGAGGACCTACCTGCCTATTCACTGTTCTGTCCCCCGCAGGCTCTTGGTCCATTACAGCAGCATCTGTAGGAGACGGAAGTCATCAAAACCGCTTGGAGGGCCCTTCTGGGTCCTCATTTCATGGGCAGACACCAACCCACAGGGGGAGGCTGTAGGTGCCTGAGGCTCTTCAGCTGCCAACATCCAGACTCAGACATTCTATCTCTCTGAGTTCAAGACCCCATCCCATGAAGTGCTCTCAATTGGCATCCCATTGATTCTGTCTCCCACTTTCTGCCTGTCATGGAAGCTTCTGGATGTCAGTGGCTGCAGGGGATGTGAGGATACAGTTCAGAACCAGGCAATGGTCTGTGAGCTGAAGGCAGGGGCAGGTTGTCTGGTGCTCTCTCTAGAAAGCCCTGCCTCTGTGGCTCCTCCCTTGGGCCAGGGACCATCCTGCCAGTGAGGAACACACACCCGCGTGCTCCCATCCTGCTTCCCCACATGGCCCTGAGCTCTCTGGCCTCTGCTTCGTGAGACTTACTCTTTTTGTTGGAGCACCAGCGATAAAGGAGAAAGAAGAGGAGGAGGATGAAGAGGAAGATGACCACTGAGGTCCCAATCAGAACATGCAGGTGTCTGCAGATACCTGGAGGAAGATGGGAATCCAATAAGAAGCTAATCATAGCAGTTCCTCTTTATGGATTGTCTCATTTCTTGATTGACAGGTAACCACATGGAACATCTCCTTAGGACAAGCAGCCTGATGGCGGGAGACCCAGCTTTCTCCTGCTTTCTCAGTTACAGCTCTCATAGAAACCATAGAACATGCTGAGGATACAGCTGCTTTAGTTTAGATGTTTGACCCTTTGAAACCTCACACTGAAATATTGAAATTTAACCCCCAGTGTGGAAGTTTGGGCCTATGGGAAGGTGTTTGAGTCATGGAGGTGGATCCATCATGAATAGATTAATGCTGCCCCACATGATGGGGTTAGCAAGTTCCCCCTCTATTAGTTCCCGGAGGGCTGGTTGTTAAAAAGAGCTTGGAAGCTCCATCGCTCGCCCTCCCCCTTGCTCCCTCTCTTGCCATGTGATCTCTGTGGTCTCTGCACAGACAGACCCTCCTTCCCTTCTGCCAGAGTGGGAGCAGCCTGAGGCCGTCACAGGAAACAGATGCTGGTGCCATGCTTCCAGTACAGCCTGCAGAACTGTGAGGCAAACAAATCTGTTTTCTCTAGAAGTTGCCCAGGCTCTGGGATGCAAGGCTGGTTCAATATATGCAAATCAATAAATGTAATCCATCATATAAACAGAACCAAAGACAAAAACCGGACGATTATCTCAATAGATGCAGAAAAGGCCTTTGACAAAATTCAACAACGCTTCATGCTAAAAACTCTCAATAAATTAGGCATTGATGGGACGTATCTCAAAATAATAAGAGCCATCTATAACAAACCCACAGCCAGTATCATACTGAATGGGCAAAAACTGGAAGCATTCCCTTTGAAAACTGGCACAAGACAGGGATGCCCTCTTTCACCACTCCTATTCAACATAGTGTTGGAAGTTCTGGCCAGGGCAATTAGGCAGGAGAAGGAAATAAAGGGTATTCAATTAGGAAAAGAGGAAGTCAAATTGTCCCTGTTTGCAGATGACATGATTGTATATATAGAAAACCCCATTGTCTCAGCCCAAAATCTCCTTAAGCTGATAAGCAGCTTCTACAAAGTCTCAGGATACAGAATCAATGTACAAAAATCACAAGCATTCTTATACACCAATAACAGACAAACAGAGAGCCAAATCATGAGTGAACTCCCATTCACAATTGCTTCAAAGAGAATAAAATACCTAGGAATCCAACTTACAAGGGATATGAAGGACCTCTTCAAGGAGAACTACAAACCACTGCTCAATGAAATAAAAGAGGATACAAACAAATGGAAGAACATTCCATGCTCATGGGTAGGAAGAATCAAGATCGTGAAAATGGCCATACTGCCCAAGGTAATTTATAGATTCAATGCCATCCCCATCAAGCTACCAATGACTTTCTTCACAGAATTGGAAAAAACTACCTTAAAGTTCATATGGAATCAAAAAAGAGCCTGCATTGCCAAGTCAATCCTAAGCCAAAAGAACAAAGCTGGAGGCATCATGCTGCCTGACTTCAAACTATACTACAAGGCTACAGTAACCAAAACAGCATGGTACTGGTACCAAAACAGAGATATAGATCAATGGAACAGAATAGAGCCCTCAGAAATAATGCCACATATCTACAACTATGTGATCTTTGACAAACCTGAGAAAAACAAGCAATGGGGAAAGGATTCCCTATTTAATAAATGGTGCTGGGAAAACTGGCTAGCCATAGGTAGAAAGCTGAAACTGGATCCCTTCCTTACACCTTATACAAAAATTAATTTGAGATGGATTAAAGACTTAAACGTTAGACCTAAAACCATAAAAACCCTAGAAGAAAACCTAGGCATTACCATTCAGGACATAGGCATGGACAAGGACTTCATGTCTAAAACACCAAAAGCAACGGCAACAAAAGCCAAAATTGACAAACGGGATCTAATTAAACTAAAGAGCTTCTGCACAGCAAAAGAAACTACCATCAGAGTGAACAGACAACCTACAAAATGGGAGAAAATTTTCGCAACCTACTCATCTGACAAAGGGCTAATATCCAGAATCTACAATGAACTCAAACAAATTTACAAGAAAAAAACAAACAATCCTATCAAAAAGTGGGCAAAGGACATGAACAGACACTTCTCAAAAGAAGACATTTATGCAGCCAAAAAACACATGAAAAAATGCTCACCATGACTGGCCATCAGAGAAATGCAAATCAAAACCACAATGAGATACCATCTCACACCAGTTAGAATGGCGATCATTAAAAAGTCGGGAAACAACAGGTGCTGGAGAGGATGTGGAGAAATAGGAACACTTTTACACTGTTGGTGGGACTGTAAACTAGTTCAACCATTGTGGAAGTCAGTGTGGCGATTCCTCAGGGATCTAGAGCTTGAAATACCATTTGACCCAGCCATCCCATTACTGGGTATAAACCCAAAGGACTATAAATCATGCTGCTATAAAGACACATGGACACGTATGTTTATTGTGGCACTATTCACAATAGCAAAGACTTGGAACCAACCCAAATGTCCAACAATGATAGACTGGATGAAGAAAATGTGGCACATATACACCATGGAATACTATGCAGCCATAAAAAATGATGAGTTCATGTCCTTTGCAGGGACATGGATGAAATTGGAAATCATCATTCTCAGTAGACTATCACAAGGACAAAAATCCAAACACCGCATGTTCTCACTTATAGGTGGGAATTGAACAATGAGAACACATGGACACAGGAAGGGGAACATCACACTCTGGGGACTGTTGTGGGGTGGGGGGAGGGGGGAGGGATAGCATTAGGAGATATACCTAATGCTAAATGACGAGTTGATGGGTGCAGCACACCAGCATGGCACATGTATACATATGTAACTAACCTGCACATTGTGCACATGTACCCTAAAACTTAAAGTATAATAATAATAAAAATTTTAAAAAAAAGCTCATCAGAAGCACTATACAAAAAAAAAAAAAAAAAAAAAAGAAGTAACCCAGGCTCAAGTGTTCTTTTATAGCAACAAAAATGGACTAAGACAGCAACGTCCTGAGATCAGGAGGAACGTCTCAGAACAGCCTGTGCTGTCTTCCTGTTCTTCCTGGAGGAGGACGTCATGCAGTGCTTTAGCTGAGTGCTTCCTGTGGCTTCAGGGTACAAAACCCAGGCTGGGCTATTTTCTGGCTTCCCCCAGATACACTGCAAATGAGGTGACTCCATATGTCCCGAGCAGCTTTTCTGAGCCTTGAGGGACTGGCTCACGTTGAAATGTAGGCTTCTGTTGTCACTCGCTGCTTATCTGTTAGTAATGAACCTGCCTATGTAACGTATTCTCTGTGTGTTCTGTCTCCCTGGAGTGACGGTGAGTGATAGAAATTGGCATAGGCCCAGGTGCAGTACAGCAGGTGTTTAGAGTCTTCTCTGGAAAGACTGGACTGGGATTGATACACAGTGAATGTGCTTTACAGTTTCTACATCCACAACCCTCTTGACTCAAATTACATTCTCCAAGAAAAGGACACAAAAGTGAAATCAAGATCAAAAAAGCAAAGTAGAATTCTCTTATGTCAAACAGCCAGGAAATAATGATGAAGCCCATGTGAAACGTGCTACTCTTTGTGATCTCGCGAGACACATGTTAGGCTGCTGTTCCACCTGAGAGGCTGGGGGAAAGACCACCCCCTCCACCATCTATTGCTTCAAAACCACCTGTCCTCCTGTGAATTAGTAGGAAAGGGGAGCAGGAGCTAGTGCTGGTGCTGATCTCTGATTCCAAGATCTGAACTCACTCCAAGGAGTATTAGCGTTTACCTCCCCATGATCTATCTGTATCTCCACAGGTGATTGGAAGTAGGGGTGAGGTGGGGGATTTGGGTGAGGGGGAAAGTTTCTTGTGATGAACAGAGCACTTTCCCTATTTCAGGGCCTGTGCTGGTGGGTTCAGGGGGCTTTCATATTTTCCATATGATCTCATGTTCACAGAAAGCCAAATATGGAAGAGGTTTTAGGCTGATTTTCTAATGGATAAGATAAAGGATCAAAGAAGTAATTATAGAGGAATAGAAAAATGATGATTGGAATTCAGGTGCCTGCATCATTTGTGTATATTATTATATTTATGTATTTTTTATTTTTATTTTTTGAGACAGAGTATCCCTGTGTAGCCCAGGCTGGTGTGCAGTGATGCGATCTCCACTCACTGCAACCTCTGCCTCCAGGGCTGAAGTCATTCTCCTGCTTCCTCCTCCAGAGTAGCTGGGATTACAGTCATGCACCACCATCATGCCTGTTTAATTTTTGTATTTTTAGTAGAGATAGGGTTTCTCCATGTTGGCCAGGCTGGTCTCGAACTCCTGACTTCATGTGATCCACCCGCGTTGGCCTCCTGAAGTGCTGGGTTACAGGCGTGAGCCACCGTTCACAGCCTTGTATATTATGCTATACTAGGTCCCTTCATTTGCACCACCCCTCATCTAGCTCTCCCTCCTCTGCCAGGTATTGATTTAGATGCAGGAGAAATAAATCTCAGAAATAAGTTAGTGAAGCGAGGATTAAACTACCAGGAAAAATTAAACCCAGTAAGCGTTTCCAGTCAATGATTCTACCTCACAAACATATCTTATATCCATCTACTTCATTCATTTAGTGTCTAAATCAGCACCACATTTCACCAGTGGGGCGGCAATTGCCTTTTCCACGGTCTCCTAGATTCCAGTTATGCACCTGAGCCTCCCTTATTTTCATGTCAGTCATATTAATCATGTAGGGATTCCTGGTTACCCCGAGGTGAATCCAAGGGCTGTGAGTGTCAAACACACACTCCTTGTTGCTCCTTAGTTTCCTGTGTACCCAGTGTGCTCTCCGTCTCTCCACAGTCGTCTTGTCATTCTCCCCATCTCATTCCCGGCATTTCAGGCAGAGCCTCTTCCTTCCACATCAGATTGTTTTCACCTTTGTGCCTTCACGGCTGACAGCTGTGTGGAAAATCCTTCTGCCAATCTTCCAGGGGTTCAATCCGTGTTTTTCATTAATGTCACAAATATCTGATTAGTGAGAACTTCTCTGTCACCTGAAATCATACACTCAGCATTATCTATTATTGATTTGAAAATTTGGCTTGGCCCCGTGGCTCATGCCTCTTATCCCAGCGTGTTGGGAGGCAGAGGCTATTGGATCACCTGAGGTTGGGAATTTGAGACCAGCCTGGCCAACATGGTGAAACATCCTCTCTACAGAAAATATGCAAAAAGAGTTAGCCGGGCGTGGTGGTTGTGGTCTGTAATCCCAGCTACTGGAGAGGCTGAGGGAGGAGATCAGTTCAGCCCAGGAGGTGGAGGTTGCAGTGAGCCGAGATCATGCCACTGCACTCTAGCCTGGACGACAGAGCAAGGCTCCGTCTCAATAAACAAGTAGGTAAATACATAAATAAATAGATTTCATGCACAGATGCTTCTCAATAGATCATTCATTTATTGGTCCCCTTGTGCCTACATTTTCTGCCCTCCCATTTAACCATCTGCAAGATCAGTGTCCCAAGAACAGAGGCCAAATGCATCTTGTTCACTGTTTGTGGAAGGCAGGAGAATGTTGTCCCACCCCAAAAATGTCCATGTCCTAGCCTCCATAGCTTGTGAATATGTTATTTTACATGAAAGGAGGAATGAAGATTGCAGATGGAATTATGGTTGCTAGTCAGCTGAACTTAAAAGGAGGGTATCCTGGATGATTTCCGGGAGATTATGATGGATTTTCATCTTGGTGAACCCAATAGAATCCCCAAGTTTTCAAAAGAAGGGCAAGAAGGGAGAGCAGCATTCAGAGAAAGAGGTGTGGTAAGGAAGAAGGGTCTGAGTGATGCCATGTGAGATGTGACCAGTCTTTGTGGGCTTTGAGGAAGGAGGAAGGGTACCAGGAGCCAAGGAACATGGGAGCCTCTAGAAGCTGAGAAAAGTGAGAAGCAGATTCTTGCCTGGAATCCTCAGAGGGAAGGCAGCCTTGCTGTCACCTTGATTTTAGCCCAGTGACATGCACGTCATGCTTTGAGCTACAGCACTGTAAGATAATTAAATAACCGTTTTGTTTTCACCCACGAATCTTGTGGAAATTTGTTATGGCAACAATAGGAAAAGCTTCCACACTGCACAGCCTGAGCATGGGGCCGTGGCTGAATGAGTCAGTGAGTCGAAGTGTGCGTGCATGAGCTCTGTTCTCTGTTACGGCAAGGCTCTTGCTCTGCTGAGTCAGCCAGGGTTGCCTGATGACCAACAGTAATTCATTCCTTGGCAAGTGGAACTTCTCTAAAACACCCACCCTCATCAGATGTTCCCTTCCCTTCCCTCTCTCAAGCCCCCGGGAATTTATCCTCCAGTTAGGAATGCAGGCAGAAAAAACACTGCATTTTTCCTGAGAAGGATGTCAGATTGGCAATTATTCTTCTAGCTTGTAGGAGGTCTCACCTGCAGGAAATTAAAGGTAAAGAGACTTCGCTGAGCCCTTTGGTGGCCCTAGATCCCTTTCACTGTTGGAGTGTCTGGAGTTCAGAGATGGTGGAAGACAGGCCCTCATTCACAGAGCTGGGAGGTTTGAGCCAACACTTGCATCCAAGGCTTCCACCTCCCCAGGTTTCCAAAAGCAGAGATAAGAGGGGTCCTTTACTCACCAGATTTGGAGCTTGGTTCTGTGGGTGAAGGCCAACTACTTGAAGGGTTTCCTAGAACACGGGACAGGAGAGATGTGAGGAAATGAGGGTGCTTGTCCTCTACTCAATGGAAATCTTTGAGGTTGGTTCATGGCCAACACTCTGTTATCTAATGTTGGACCCTGGGAGTCTTGGGATCCTTTTCTCCATAATTTTTGTGTGCGATGCCCACTGTCTTGAGACTTGAAGGTATAAAGAGAAAACAGGAGCATCACACTACCTGACTTAGAAATATGTTACAGAGCTGTAGTAAGCAAAACAGCATGACATTGGCATAAAGAAAGGCACATAAAAAATGGAACAGAATGGAGAACACAGATATAATCCATGCATTTACATCCAATGGCTTTCTTTTGTGTGTGTGTGATAGAATCTTGCTCTGTCATGCAGGCTGGAGTGTAGAGGTGCAATCTCAGCTCAATGCAACCTCCACTTCCTGGATTCAAGAAATTCTCTTGCTTCAAACTCCTGAGTAGTGGTATTACAGGCACTGATCACCATGCTCAGCTAATTTTTGTATTTTTAGTAGAGACGAGGTTTCACTCTGTTGGCCAGCCTGGTCTTGAACTCCTGGCTTTAGGTGATCCACCCGCCTCGGCCTCCCAAAGTGCTGGAATTGCAGGTGTGAGCCACCATACCCAGCCCATTTAATGGACTTTGACAAAGGTGCCGAGAACTTACAATCAGGAAAGGACAGTCTTCAATAAATGGTGTGGGGAAAACTGGATATCTACATGCAGAGGAATAAAACTGCATCTATACCTGTCACCTTACACAAAAATCAAATGAAAATGGATTAAAAACATGAGTCTAAGGCCTGAACCTATGAAACATGTAGAAGAAAATAATGGGGAAGACATTTGTCTGACGAAAGACATTTTGTTTAAAACCTTCAAAACACAAGTAATCAAAGCAAAAAATAGACCATTAGGATTACATCAAACCAAGCAACTTCTGCACCACCAAAGATAAACCAACAAAGTGAAGAGACAACCCACAAAATAGGAGCAAATATTTGCAAACTATTCATCTGAGATGGGATTAATAACTGGAAATATAAGAAGCTCAAACAACTCAATAAAACAATTTAATTAAAAAACGAGCAAAAGACATGAGGAGACATTTCTCCACAAACAAAACATAGAAATGGCGATCACGTATATGAAAAAGTGCTCAGCATCACTCATCATCACAGAAATGTAAATTACAATCGCGATGAGTTTTCATCTCATCCCATTAAAATGCCTTTTAGGCCGGTGGCTCACGCCTGTAATTCCAGCACTTTGGGAGGCGGAGGTGGGCGGATCACCTGAGGTCGGGAGACCAGCCTGACCAACATGGAGAAACTCCCTCTCTACTAAACATACAAAAATTAGCTAGGCGTGGTGGCACATGCCTGTAATCCCAGCTACTTTGGAGGCTGAGGCAGGAGAATCAGTTGAACGCGGGAGGCAGAGGTTGCAGTGAGCCGAGATCACACCCTTGCACTCCAGCCTGGGCGACTATGAGTGAAACTCCATCTCAACATAAATAAATAAATAAATAAAGTAAAGTAAAATGGCTTTTATCTGCAAGACAGGCAAAACAAATGCTGGCAAGATGGTAGAGAAAGGAGAACCCTGGTACCCTGTTGGTAGGAATGTAAATTAGTACAACTATTATGGAGAAAAGTATGGAAAATCTTTAAAAAACTAAAAGCAGGCTGGGCATAGTGGCTTATGCCTGTAACTTCAGCACTTTGGGAAACCGAGGCAGGCACCTCACTTGAGGTCAGGAGTTTGAGAGCAGCCTGCCCAAAATTGGGATATCCCGTCTGTGCTAAAAAATACAAGAATTAGTCAGGCATGGTGGCGTGCACCTGTAATCACAGCTACTAGGGAGGCTGAGTCAGGAGAATCGTTTGAACCTAGGAAGCAGAGGTTGCAATGAGCCAAGATCGCACCACTTTGACTCCAGCTTGGACTAAGGAGGGAAACTCTTTCTCAAAAAAGAAAAAAAAAAAAAGAGAACTTTCATAGTGTCCAGCAATTTCACTACTGGGTTTATATCCAAAGGAAAGGACATCAGTGTATCGAAGTGATATCTGCACTCATATGACTGTTCCAGCACTGTTCACAGTAGCCAAGATGTGGAGTCAACCTACCTGCCTATCAGTGGGTGAATGGATAGAGAACTGTAGTACACACACACGGTGGAGACTACTCATCCATAGAAACAATAACATCCTGTCATTTGCAGCCACATGGATGGAACTCGAGGTCATTACAAAGATTCCCATTTCTCACCACATGCAGGAGATAAAAGGTGGATCTCATGAAGGTAGAGAATAGAATGGTGGATACCAGAGGCCAGGAAGGGAAGGGTGGAGGGTAACAAAAAAAAGAATATAGATGTATTTATTTATTTAGAAACAGAGTCTCTCTCTGTCTCCCAGGCTGCAGTGCAGTGGCATGATCTCGGCTCAGTGCAACCTCTGCCTCCTGGCTTTAAGTGCTTCTCCTGCCTCAGCCTCCCAAGTAGCTAGGACTACAGGTGCATGCCGGCATGCTTGGCTAATTTTTCTTGTCTGTTTAGTAAAGATGAATTTCCCGCATGTTGGCCAGGCTGATCTCGAGTCCCTGATCTTAAATGATCCACCTTTCTTGGCCTCTCAAAGCGCCAAGATTACAACCGTGAACCACCACACCCAGCATATAAAGGTATTTATGACCACTAGATTTTACTTTTAAAAATGGTAAAGTTGGTAAATTATATAGTTACATTTAACCTCAATAAATATTTTTGAAAATGAAAAGAAAAGAGTGTAGGGGTTGCTGGTGATGACATCTCTCTGTGTGGGTGAGAGGCCAGGATGGGCTTCTGGGAAATGGGTAAGGTTGAGGGGCTGAGGGAACCTCTGATCTCCCCAAACTGAGCCCAGTCTCCCCTTCTCTGGGTCTGTCCTGACCGCTTTCTCCATCTGCCTGGGTGCCTGGAGCCCTGACCATGGGCCTCCATGCAGGCCATGCAAGAGGGTTTGGAGGTGCCCTGTCTGCCATCCTGCACCCTGACCCCCCCCTCACACCCAGTCTTCGTGTTCTCTCTGCATCTGTCCATGCTTCTCCCCATCATCGGCAGGAAGCTCCTCAGCTATGGCTCTAGGATCATAAGACATGGGACAGACACGGGTTTTCCTCACCTGTGACAGAAACAAGCAGTGGGTCACTTGAGTTTGACCACACGCAGGGCAGGGCACGGAAAGAGCCGAAGCATCTGTAGGTCCCTCCGTGGGTGGCAGGGCCCAGAGGAAAGTCTGCCTGGAATGTTCTGTTGACCTTGGGCACTGCACGGAGCCTACGTTCATGGGCCTCCCCTTCCCTGGACAGATGGTAGATGTCATAGGAGCTCCAGGAGCTACAGGACAAGGTCACGTTCTCTCCTGCCTGAACCGTGGGGCCCGGCTGGGCTGAGAGAGAAGGTTTCTCATATAGACCTGGAAGGAGAAGAGGCAGTTTCCTCAGGGAGGTTCTTCCTTGTCACAGCTCCCCTCATACCTGAGCTGAGAACTCACTCCCCTGCTCTATGACCTAATGCTCTCTCTCTCTCTCACCCTCCACCCCAACTCTCTTCATGTCTATTTCCTCCTTCCGCCTTCTCTGTCTCTCTAGGTCTCTGACCTCACTTCCCCACCCCTGGGTATGCTTTCCCTTTTTGGATTGTTTTATTCTCTCTGACTCTCCTTGGATTGGTTGACTTGATCTTCCTTTTTCTATAATTCTGAGTCTCTCACTTTCTGTCTTGTTCATAACTTTCTGCATATTTCTATCTATTATCTATCTATCTATTTTGTGTCTATCTACAAATTATCTGTCATCTATATCTATGTATCATTTATCTATCAATTGTCTATCTGTCTATCCATCAATCATCTATGTATTATCTGTATCTATGTATCATCTCTCTCTCTCTCTATTACCTCTCTGTCTGCCTGTCAGTCTCTATGTATCATCTATGTATCTATATATTTATATATGTGTCTTCTATCTATCTATCTTCATCATCATCATCATCATCATCTCTATGTATCATCTATCAATCATCATCTATGTATCTATAACCTATCCATTATCTATCATCTACCTATTTATCATCTATCTATATCTATCTATCCATCTATCATCTGTCTCTCTCCATCTCCTTGTCTTTCTCTGCCTCTCAGTCTCTCTAGTTCTATTTGGAATCTCTGCAATCCATCCCCACATCTTTATCTTTCTCTGTCTTTGTGCCCCTCCCTCAGGGTTCTGATTTTGGGGCTTTTCTCTCCTCCCTTCCAGCATTCTCTCCACTCCTCTGCCCTCTTTTCTTTCTTTTTGTGTGTCTGTGAGTCTCTCAATCCCCTTCCTCTGGCTCATTCTCTGTGTGTTTATGCCTTTGCTTTTTGAAGTCCCTGATTTATCTCTGTGTCTCTCAGTGATCCTATTATATGTAGGATTATTTGGAATATGAGCCTCAGAATCTAGTCTGGGGACACCAAGTACACACAGTATTTAGGGGTTGGTGTTCTGGGGCCATGATATCCTGGGATAATTATGGCTCCACTGCATGGAAGGCAGAGGTGTCAGAATAAACATGGCATCTGTAGATGCCACAAGGCCTGAGGCCACAGGGCCCAACTCAGGTCAGAAATATGGGTGTCCTTGGGTTCTCCTCGTAGAAGCACTTTGTGGAGACAAAACAGAAATGAAACTTCTAACCTGTGCCAGGTCTCTGAGCAAAGTCAGCATGGAAGGACACTTCTCTCTGGCACATGTCTGTCTGTCTGAGTGTCTCCTTTACCTCTTTCTCTCTTTTCTACTTCCCCGTATGGCCCCTGTGTCTGTCCTCTGTTATGACACCTGGTCTGTACTTATGTCTCCTGTTTCCCTGTCTCTGTTGGTACAGACCTCACCGAGTCAGTCTCTCTCCATAAGAATCCCACGCTTATCTTCCTCATGACCACCTGGGGGTTCCAAGTCCTGGATCATTCACTCTGTGTCCCAATGACAATGAGAAGAATGTCTGGACACTCTCACCTGTGATCACGATGTCCAGGGGGTCACTGGGAGCTGACAACTGATAGGGGGAGTGAGGAACAGAACCATAACATCTGTAGGTTCCTGCAAGGACAGGCATCAAGGGACCGATGGAGAAGTTGGCCTTGGAGACCCCATCATGGATCTGTCCAACGAGGCGTGAGGGGTCCTCAGAGATCCCATCTCTGTGCAGAAAGAAGTGCTCAAACATGACATCTGACCAACATTGCAGGATGACTGTCTCTCCTGATTTCAGCAGGGGCCCTGGGTGGGCCAGGAGGGAAGGTTTTCTGTGGTTTCCTAGAAAGAGAAGTTGTGAGTTTAGAAGGCATCTCTCTTTATCATCCCATCCATGGCACCTGGAATGAGTGAGGGTTCCCCTCCCAGAGGTCTGTCTCTCTCCTCCCTCTCTGTGTCTCCGTGTCTTTTCTGTGCCCATATCCCCTGGTGCAGGTCCCTCCATTTGTCTTCCTCCCTCTTCTCTGTCCCTCTGTCTCCAGTAGCCCCTGACTCCCTTCCCACTGTGAAGAGAGCCTCATCTCTTGGGCTGTTGTATCTCTTTCCCACTAGTCTCTTTCCTGCTGTCTATGTGAGGGTGGAAGAGGACAGGCTGCATGTCCAGGCTCTCAGCAGCCTGAATCAATCTCTTTTGAACAAATTGGAGTCTCTGGCAGAGGTATCAACTCATCAGTAAGGCAGACATCAGTGTCCACACACCCTGTTCCTGATGGGGATTGGGAGCCTCTCCTGCCATGTCTGTGCCTTCTCCATGGCCCCAGCTTCCATAGGGTGGTCCCTGGTGCTGGTTCCAGGAGCATCAACCCCTTCCTATGTGGATGGAGCCTGGTGGTGGCATCAGCATCCCACCCTTGCTGATCCCACGGTAGCCAACCTTCTCCTTGTTTGGTTTCTTTAATTAATTGATTAATTAATTTATTTTTGAGACAGTCACTTTTTCACCCAGGCTGGAGTGCAGTGGTGTTGTCTTGGCTCACTGCAACCTCTGCCTCCCCGGTTCAAGTGATTCTCTTGCCTCAGCCTCCCCAGTCGTTGGATTACTCGTGCCCACCACCACACCTGGCTATCCTTGTTTGGTTTCCTAGCTTGTCCTTGACCTGGGTTCCTGTGTCGGTTTCCTGTTGCTGCTGCAGAAAATTATCACAAACATGGCAGCAGGAGAGAACACACTGACCCCTTCCACTTCTGGGGACAGAAATTGGATCCAGTTCTCCCTGTGCTGAAATCAAGGCATCTGCAGGGCTGCGTTCCCTCTGGAGACTCAGCGAATCAGTTCTCTTGACTTCTCCAGCCCTTAGAGGCCACCTGCATTCTGTGACTAGTGGCCTTCCTCCACCTTCAAAGCCCACAGTGGCTGATAGCGTCTCCCTCCCACTACACTGCTCTAATCCCCACTCCCCTCTTCCTCCACCTCTCACGCGGACCCTTGTGATTACACTGAGCCCAGCAGGACAGTCCAGGCTGTCTCCCCATCTCAAGGTCAACTCATCAACAACCTGAGCTCCACCTTCCCCTTCAGTCCCCTGCCCTATAACATAAATAGTCACAGGCTCCAGGGTTTACAATGTAGCCATCATTGGCGACAGTTATTCTTCCCACCACAGCGCCCATTTCCCCTGTATTCAATCTCCCTTGACCCCAAATACAGTTGGGGCCTGGGTGATGGGACCCTGATGGACACCCCCACCAGAAGCTCTGGGATTCAGGAGGTGGGACAGTGAGAAGCCCAGACAGAAAGCCTCTGACCTGTGACCATGATCACCAGGGGGTTGCTGGGTGCCGACCACCCAGTGAGGGAGTGTGGGCGTGAACCCCGACATCTGTAGGTCCCTGCATGTGCTGGGGTCACAGGGCCCATGATGAAGCTCTCCTGGAATATTCTGCCGTGGAAGATGGGAACGTGGCTTCTGTCTTCTTTGTACAGCATGAAATTGTTAAACCCACGACGATAGTGACACTGAAGAGCCACGTGTCCTCCTCGAGGCACCACAGTGCTGGGCCGGGCAGACAGGAAGGGTTTGTCCTGACCACCTGGGGGAGAAGGAGGCACTGCCTTAGAGAGGAGGATGTGGAGCCACCCCTCCCTCCCTGTGCTCAGAAGATTCTCCCATTTCCGCTTTCTAAGGCTCCTACCACACCTGGGTGCCCAGGGCTACAGGAAGGACCCACCCCACATAGACATGGCGTCTCCCTACAACAAGTGTCAGCTGAGAACTTTGAGCAAGTGCTGAATAAGTGACTCTTACTAGATTTTAATACTGCAAAATTACTCACATAAAACAACACAAAGTAGACACGGCATGGAGGGCATGTCCTATGTGAATGGAATATCAGCCAATTCATGAACTGAGCCCCCTCAGAGGATTTGGAATGTCAGGGCCATGGCTGTGGTTTCCCCCCTCTTCTGGTAGAAAGACCGCAGCCACACTGCAGCCCCTACCGTCACGGAAACGCTGGAGGGTGTCAGTTATACCTTTGTCCTCAGAGGACCTGCTGTTCCTAGCACTGCTTCCCTCTCTTTCTCTGCTGCTGACACCACTTCCTCCCTGCACACCCCAGCTTGGAGCACCCCAGTCTCACCCCAGTCTTCACAGAGCTTGACTCAGGAAAGGGAAAGAAAGGCCGGGGAGGGCGAGGTCAGAAATGTGGGCCGAGTATCCAAGGGTCCCCTCTTCCTAGTTTATGAGAGACTCCCCGACAGGACTTCCCTCCTGTTTCAGAAAAATCCTCTTATGTGGGGAGATGACACCCTAAGGTTTGGGGAAGGACTCACCCATGAGTGGCCAGGCCCCCTGCAGCAAGAAGAACCCTGGAAAGAAAGATCATGATAGACGATCCAACTGCAGGCAAACCAGGGCACCCTGCTGCCCCCACTGCACTGTGTGTCTTGGCAGCCAGGCCCTTGCTGGGCTGAAGGTAAACTTAGCCTCCCTGCTACCTGCTGCCAAGAACAGGGCTCTCAGCTGTGGAGAGACCCAGGCTCCAGGCCCAGATCAACACTTCCTGGCCCAGATCTCCACTCCAGGCCCATATCTCCACTCCAGGCCCCTATCTCCACTCCAGGCCCCTATCTCCACTCCAGGCCCATATCTCCACATCAGACCCATATCTCCACTCCAGGCCCAGATCTCCCCTCTAGGCCCATATCTCCACTCCAGGCCCATATCTCCACTCCAGGCCCATATCTCCACATCAGACCCATATCTCCACTCCAGGCCCAGATCTCCACCTGCAGGCCCATATCTCCACTCCAGGCCCATATCTCCACTCCAGGCCCGTATCTCCACTCCAGGCCCATATCTCCACACCCAGGCCCATATCTCCCCTCCAGGCCCATATCTGCACTCCAGGCCCATATTTACACCTCCAGGCCCATATCTCCACACCCAGGCCCATATCTCCACTCCAGGCCCATATCTCCACTCCAGGCCCATATCTTTACCTCTAGGCCGAGATCTCCATCCCCACTCTCCCTCCCTCTATTCCCTTCCAGGACTCACCAACGCACGCCATGCTGACGACAGTGAGCGACATGGTGCTGCCGGTGCAGACAGGAGGCCGCGCCCCAGCTCAGCTCAGCAGCGCACAGGATGTTATTTGGCGCCCTGCCCATGCAGTTTACATGTTGACCACATCATGGGAGGGTGACGTACGCAGGCTCTTTCTACCTTGCATGAGGCCCAGTGGGTGCTCGCTCAAGAGCGGAACATGGCTTCCTGGAAATTGTTGTGACTACAATTGCCACCTTGCATCCTTCACTATGACCAGACTCAAAAGACGTCTCAGATCCAACCTCTCACACATGAGGTGATTGAATTCTGTGCTTACATTAAAGACTTTTGATGTATTTTTGTTTTTATCTGAGATTCAAACTTTTCTTCATGTGTAATGTGCAAAATATCTAAGAGGTATTATTAACATTATCAGAGTAATTGTGACAAAAAGCCATTCTAATTTTCCTGATGAGTTTCTAGTACTAAACCTGAGGCACGAGAATTGCTTGAACCTGGGAGGCGGAGGCTGCAGTGAGCTGAGCTCAAGCCACTGAACTCCAGCTTGGGTGACAGAGGAAGAGTCTGTCTCAAGAAAGAAAAAAAAAAGCAAACTAAATAACCTATAATAACAAATCAGAGAACTCAGGTTACCAAATTTTAAGGGGTTCTATAAGTTTATATGAAATGCAGCATCCTCATGAGAGGGGATACAGAGAACCACTGGGCAGAAAACTGTGTCTAAAATACATCTGTGGATACACAGTCCCTTTATAGTTGACAAAGGCTGCCATGTAGTTTAAGGTGGAATAGAATATTTTCTCAATAAATAACACAGGACCATAGGGTTACACGTAGGAAAAAATAAATCTAAACTTATCCTCACACTATAAAAACACTTCTTATTTTTTATCTTGTTGTTGTAAACTTTTTATGCTTTATTTTTAAGATTGACAAATAAAAATTATATACTGTGGTCCTTCACTATTCCTGGGTGATTGGTTCCAGGATCCCCATTCAGATACCAAAATCTGCAGATGCTCAAGCCCCTTGCATGAAATGGCATAGCGAAGCTGGGCACCGTGGCTCACGCCTGTAATCCCAGCACTTTGGGAGGCTGAGTTGGGTAGATCACGAGGTCAGGAGTTCAAGACCAGCTGGTCCAACATTCTGAAACCCCGTCTCTACTAAAAATACACACACAAAAAAATTTATCTGTGCATGGTGGCACGTGCCTGTAATCCTAGGGGAGGCTACTGGGGAGGCTGAGGGAAGACAATCGCTTGAACCTGGGAGGCAGAGGTTGCAGTGAGCTGAGATCATGCCACTGCACTCCAGCCTGGGTGAGAGAGTGAGACTGTCTCAAAAAAAAAAAAAAATAGCATAGCAATTGCATAGAACCCATGCACATCCTCCTGTATACATGAAATCATCTCTTGATTACTTATAATTCCTGACACAGCCTACACGCCACTCAATTTGTGTCGATTCAACATAGTTTTTTGCTTCTTGAAACTTCGGGGATTTTTTTCTGAAAATATTTTTGATTTATTGTTGGTTCAATAAACACCTGTAAACCCCACAGATATGGAGGACCGACTGTATATTTATATTATGAAAGATGATATGTTGATATGTGTCCCCGTGGAGATGAGACTAACAAGGCCTATGTCTCTACAAATGTTTCATCGTGGAATGACTCTGCCAGCTTTCCAGGTCTGCAGAGAGTAAGAATATCACTTGTTCATGTGATTCACGATCCTTGGAGCCTCCTATGTGCTGTATCTTTGGATGGAAATTGGAGTCTCAGAGACAAATCAGGCTACATTCTGCTTCCAGAAGCTCAGAGTCCAGGGCTGAGAACCCAATGGAGAACAGATGGGGTTATGTGGACATGGTAATGATAACACCGGAAGCCTTAGGCAAGAAAAGAGTCTCGTTACCGAAACCATGAGGGCAGACATGTTTATTTGAAGGCGGGAAAACTACATTGAAATTATTTAAAAAATTTATAAGTTTTACTGCTGGCAGAAGGCTGAAAGATAGTCTGAAGGGAGGTGGAACAGCACGTGTCTAAGTGCTGTGTTAAGAGGCAGCCTCTTGTATGTTTGGAATTGTGAGTT
This sequence comes from Homo sapiens, assembly GCF_000001405.40. Classification (NCBI taxonomy): domain Eukaryota; kingdom Metazoa; phylum Chordata; class Mammalia; order Primates; family Hominidae; genus Homo; species Homo sapiens. The sequence continues at coordinate 20,648 of NT_187643.1, forward strand.
CCTCAGTGTGATTGCAGCCTCAGGTAGACTAGGAAGTAAGCCAGTTAGGTTGGAGAGGTGGGCAGGGGTCAAGTGAAATGGAGAATTGTGGGCTAAGCAAAGGAGTGTGTTTTCTCTCCAGCAGGCAGTGGGGACCTTAGACATTTGTAAGCAAGAGAGAGGCATGTTCAGATTCGTGGTGTGAGGAAGAGCGATGCCCTAAGATGAAGACTGATGCCTTCAGATTCCAGCTGCTGGTACATGGGAGCTGGCAACCCGGTTTTGAGACAGGGCTGTTGTCTCCCTAGAAGATCCCCTCAAGGCCTGACTGTGGTGCTCGTGGACAGAAGACAACTTTGGATCTGGGCTCAGCATTTGGAAGTTCTATGTACATGCTGGTATCTGTTGGGGGTGTCTTGGGCCTCTCAGAAGGGCGAGTGATTTTTCTCTGTGTGAAAACACAGTGATCCAATTATGCGTATGACACCTCCTGATGGTCTTGTTCATCAGAATCCTGGAGAGAGGGAAATGCTGAGTGAGGGAGGGTGCTCACATTTTTCAGGACTCTTTGGGAATAAGACTAGCCACGAGGCTGGGCCGAGGAGCACCTACCTCGCTGTTCACTGTTCTGTTCCCTGCAGGCTCTTGGTCCATTACAGCAGCATCTGTAGAAGACGGAAGTCAACAAAAGAGCTCGGAGGGCACTTCTGGGTCCTCATTTCATAAGCAGATACCAACAAACAGGGGGAGGCCATAGGTGCCTGAGGTCCCTCAGTTGCCAACAGCAGACTCAGACATTCTATCTCTCTGAGTTCAAGGACCCATCCCATGAATAGCTCTGAGTTCCCATCCCATTGATTCTATCTCCCACTTTCTGCCTGTCATGGAACCTTCTCCTGGATGTGAGTGGCTGCAGGGGACGTGAGGATACAGTTCAGAATCAGGCAATGGTCTGTGAGCTGAAGGCAGGGGAAGGGAATCTGGTGCTCTCTCTAGAAAGTCCTGCCTCTGTGGCTCCTGTCTTGGGCCAGGGACCATCCTGCTGGTGAGGAACACACATCCGCGTGCTCCCATCCTGCTTCCCCACATGGCCCTGAGCTCTCTGGCCTCTGCTTCGTGAGACTTACTTTTTTTGTCGGAGCACCAGCGATGAAGGAGAAAGAAGAGGAGGATGGTGAAAGGGATTTTGACCACTGAGGTCCCAATCAGAACATGTAGGTGTCTGGGGTTACCTGGAAGAAGAGGAGACACCAATAAGAAGCTAATCATAGCAGTTCCTCTTTATGAATTGTCTCGCATTTCTTGATTGGCAGGTAACCACATACAACGTCTCTTTAGGACAAGCACCCAAATGGCGGGAGACCTAGCTTTCCCCTGCTTTCTCAATTATAGCTCTCATAGTAACCATAGAACGTGCTGAGGATACAACTACTTTAGTTGAGATGTTTGACCCTTTCAAACCTCACATTGAAATTTCACCCCCATTGTGGGAGGTTGGGCCTCTTCAGAGGTGTTTGGGTCATGGAGGTGGATCCATCATGAACAGATCAATGCTGTCCCAAGGAGACGGGGTTAGCAAGTTCCCCCTCTGTTAGTTCCTGGAGAGCTGGTTGTTAAAAAGAGCTTGGAAGCTCCATCGCTCCCTCTCCCCCTTACTCTCTCTCTTGCCGTGTGATCTCTGCGGTCTCTGCACAGACAGACCCTCCTTCCCTTCTGCCAGAGTGGGAGCAGCCTGAGGCCGTCAAGAGAAATAGATTCTGGTGCCATGCTTCCAGTACAGCCTGCAGAACTGTGAGGCAAACCAATCTCTTTTCTTTAGAAGTTACCCAGGCTCAAGTGTTCCTTTAGAGCAACAAAAATGGACTAAGATAGCAACATCCTGAGATCAGGAGGAATGTCTCAGAACAGCCTGGGCTGTCTTCCTGTTCTTCCTGGAGGAGGACGTCATGCAGTGCTTTAGCTGAGTGCTTCCTGTGGCTCCAGGGTACAAAACCCAGGCTGGGCTGCTTTCTGGCTTCCCCCAGTTACACTGCAAATGGGGTGACTCCATATGTCCCGAGCAGCTTTTCTGAGCCTTGAGGGACTGGCTCACATTGAAATGCAGGCTTCTGTTGTCACTCGCTGCTTATCTGTTAGTAATGAACCTGCCTATGTAACGTATCCTCTGTGTGTTCTGTCTCCCTGGAGTGACGGTGAGTGATAGGAATTGGCATAGGCCCAGGTGCAGTCCAGGATTTGTTTAGAGTCTTCTCTGGGAAGACTGCACTGGGATTGATACACAGCGAATGTGCTTTAGGATTTCTACATCCACAGCATTCTTGAGTCAAACAAATTGCATTCACCAAGGAAAGGAAACAAAGGTGAAATCACGATTAAAAATAGCGAAGCAAGATTCTCTTATGTCAAACAGCCAGAAAATAGTGTTGAAGCCCGTGTGAAATGTGCTGCTCTTTGTGATCTCGGGAGACACATGTTAGGCTGCTGTTCTACCCGAGAGGCTGGGGGAAGGACCACCCCCTCCACCATCTATTGCTTCAATACCACCTGTCCTCCTGTGAATTAGTAGGAAAGGGGAACAGGAGCTAGTGCTGTCGCTGATCTCTGATTCCAAGATCTGGACTCACTCCAAGGAATATTAATGTTTCCTCCCCATGGTCTATCTGAATCTCCACAGGTGATTGGAAGTAGGGGTGAGGTGGGCGATTTGGGTGAGTGGGCAAGTTTTTTTTTGCGATGACCAGAGCACTTTCTCTATTCCAGGATCCGTGCTGGAGGATTCAGCGGGCTTTCACATTTTCTATGTGATCTCATGCTCACAGAAAGCCAAATAGGGAAGAGGTTTTAGGCTGATTGCCTAATGGATAAGATAAAGGATCAAAGAAGTAATTATAGAGAAATAGAAAAATGATGATTGGAATTCAGGTGCCTTTGTCATTCGTGTGTGTTTTATTATATTTATGCATTTCTTATTTTTATTTTTTGAGACGGAGTCTCCTTGTGTCACCCAGGCTGGAGTGCAGTGATGCAATCTCCACTCACTGCAACCTCCACCTCCTGGGTTGAAGTCATTCTCCTGCTTCATCCTCCAGAGTAGGAGCTGGGATTACAGGGATGCACCACCATGCTCGGCTAATTTTTGTATTTTTAGTACAGATAGGGTTTCACCATGTTGGCCAGGCTGGTCTGGAACTCCTGACTTCATGGAATCCACCCGCCTTGGCCTCCTGCAGGGCTGGGTTACAAGCATGAGCCACCGTTCACAGACTTGTATATTATGCTATAATAGGTCCCTTCATTTCCACCACCCCTCATATATCTGTCACTCCTTTGCCAGGTATTGATTTATGTGTAGGATGAATAAATCTCAGAAAGAAATTAATTAAGCGAGGATTAAACAAGTAGGAAAATCAAACCCAGCAAGCCTTTCCAGCCAATGATTCTACCTCACAAGCATATCTTATATCCATCTACTTCATTCATTTAGTGTCTAAATCAGCACCACATTTCACCAGTGGGGCGGCAATTGCCTTTTCCACAGTCTCCTAGATTCCAGTTACGCACCTGGGCCTCCCTTATTTTCTTGTCAGTCACTATTAATCATGTAGGGATTCCTGGTTACCCCGAGGTGAATCCAATGGCTGTGAGTGTCAAACACACACTCCTTGTTCCTCCTTAGTTTCCTGTGTACCCAGAGTGCTCTCCATCTCTCTACAGTCATCTTGTCATTCTCCCCACCTCATTCCCAGCATTTCAGGCAGAGCCTCTTCCTTCAACATCAGATTGTTTTCACCTTTGTGCCTTCACAGCTGACAGCTGTGTGTGGAAAATCCTTCCGCCAATCTTTCAGGGGTTCAATCCGTGTTTTTCATTAATGTCACAAATATCTGATTAGTGAGACCTTCTCTGTCACCCAAAATTATACACTCAGCATTATCTATTATTTATTTTGAATTCTGGCTGGGCAAAGTGGCTCACGCCTGTAATCCCAGTACTTTGGGTTGCTGAGATGGTCGGATCACTTGAGGTTGGGAGTTTCAGACAAGCTTGGCCAACATGGTGAAACATCCTCTCTACAAAAAATATACAAAAAGAATTAGCCGGGCATGGTGGCAGTTGCCTGTAATCCCAGCTACTCGAGAGGGTGAGGCAGGAGAATCACTTGGATCCAGGAGACGCAGGTTGCAGTGAGCCAAGATCGTGACACTGCACTGTAGCCTGGAAGACAGAGGGAGACTCTGTCTCAATAAACAAACGAACAAACAAACAAATAGATTTCATGCACAGATGCTTCCCAATGGATCATTCATTTATTGGTCCACTTGTGCATTCATTTTCTGTCCTCCCATTTAACCATCTGCAATATCAGTGTCCCAAGAGCAGAGGCCAAATGCATCTTGTTCACCATTTGTGGAAGGCAGGAGAATGCTGTCCCACCCCAAAATGTCCCTGTCCTAGCCTCCATAGCTTGTGAATATGTTATTTTACATGGAAAGGAGGAATGAAGATTGCAGATGGAATTATGGTTGCTAATCAGCTGAACTTAAAACAAGGGTATCCTGAATGATTTCCGGGAGATTATGACGGATTTTCATCTTGGTGAACCCAATAGAATCCCCAAGTTTTCAAAAGATGAGGAAGAAGGGAGAGCAGCATTCAGAGAAAGAGGTGTGGTAAGGAAGAAGGGTCTGAGTGATGCCATGTGAGATGTGACCAGTCTTTGTGGGTTTTGAGGAAGGAGGAAAGGGACCAGCAGCCAAGGAACTGGGAGCCTTTATAAGATGGGACAAGTGAGAAGCAGATTCTTGCCTGGAATCCTCAGAGGGAAGGCAGGCTTGCTGTCATCTTGATTTTAGCCCAGTGAGATGCACTTCATGCTTTGAGCTAGAGCACTGTAAGATAATTAAATAACCGTTTTGTTTTCACCCACGAATCTTGTGGAAATTTGTTATGGCAACAATAGGAAAAGCTTCCACACTGCACAACCTGAGCATGGGGCCGTGGCTGAATAAGTCAGTGAGTCAAAGTGTGCGTGCATGAGCTCTGTTCTCTGTTACGGCAAGGCTCTTGCTCTGCTGAGTCAGCCAGGGTTGTTTCATGACCAACAGGAGCTCATTCCTTGGCAAGTGGAACTTCTCTAAAACACCTCGCCCTCATCAGATGTTCGCTTCCCTTCCCTCTCTCAAGCCCCCAGGAATTTATCCTCCAGTTAGGAATGCAAGCAGAACAAACATTGCGTTTTTCCTGAGAAGGATGTCAGATTGGCAATCATTCTTCTAGCTTGTAGGAGGTCTCAGCTCCATAAAATGAGAGATGAAGAGATTTCACTGAGCCCTGTGTTGGGCCCAGATCCCTTTCGCTGTTGGAGTATCTGGAGTTCGGAGATGGTAGAAGACAGGCGTACAATGTCAGAGCTGTGAGATGCTGAGTCAACGCCTGAATCCAAGGTTTCCACCTCCCCAGGGTTCCAAAAGCGGATATAAGAGGGTCCTGTACTCACCGGTTTTGGAGCTTGGTTCAGTGGGTGAAGGCCAACTATTTGAAGGGTTTCCTAGAACATGAGACAGGAGAGAGGTGAGGAAATGAGGGTGTCTGTCCTCTACTCAGTGGAAATCTTTGAGTTTGGTTCATGGCCAACACTCTGTTATCTAACATTGGGCCCTGGGAGTCCAGGGATCCTTTCTTCCATAATTTTTGTATGTGACGCCCACTGTCTTGAGACTTCAAGGTATAAAGAGAAAACAGGAGCATCACACTACCTGATCTCAAAATATGTTACAGAGCTGTAGTAAGCAAAACAGCATGATGTTGGCATGAAGAAAGGCACATAGAACAACGGAGCAGAATGAAGAACACAGATATAATCCATGCATTTACATCCAATTTTTTTTATTTTTTCTTTTGAGATGGAGTCTTGCTCTGTCACCCAGGCTGGAGTGCAGAGGTGCAATCTCGGTTCACTGCAACCTCAGCCTCCTGGGTTCAATCAATTCTCTTGCCTCAAACTCCTGAGTAGTAGTATTACAGGTGCTGACCACCATGCTCAGCTAATTTTTATATTTTTAGTGGAGACGATGTTTCATCACGTCGGCCAGAGTAATCTTGTACTCCTGTCCTCAGGTGATCCACCAGCCTTGGCCTCCCAAAGTGCTGAAGTTGCTGGTGTTAGCCACCATGCCCAGCCCATCCAATGGACTTTGACAAAGGTGCCAAGAACTCACAATCAGGAAAGGACAGTTTTTTCAATAAACAGTGCAGGGAAACCTGGACATCTACATGCAGAGGAATGAAACTGCACCTCTACCTGTCACCATACACAAAAATCAAATGAAAGTGGATTAAAGATGTGAGTCTAAGGCCTGAACCTGTGAAACACGTAGAAGAAAATATTGGGGAAATGCTCCAGTACATTTGTCTGAAGGAAGACATTTTGTTTTAAACCTTCAAAACACAAGTAATCGAAGCAAAAATAGACCATTGGGATTACCTCAAACTAAGCAACTTCTGCACCGCTAAAAATAAACCAACAAAGTGAAGAGACAACCCACAGATTGGGAGCAAATATGTGCAAACTATGCATCTGAGACGGGATTAATAACTAGAAGTATAAGAAGCTCAAACAACTCAATAAAACAAATGATTTAATTGAAAAAGGAGCAAAAGACATGAAATTTCCCCACATACGAAAAAGTGCTCAGTATCACTCATCATCAGAGAAACGCGAATTAAAATCAAAGTGAGTTTTCATCTCACCCCATTAAAATGGCTTTTAGGCCGGGCGAGGTGGCTCACGTCTGTCATCCTAGAACTCTGAGAGCCCGAGGTGGGCGAATCTCATAAGGTCGGGAGTTTGAGACCAGTCTGACCCACATGGAGAAACGCTGTCTCTACTAAAAATACAAAAATTAGTCGGGCGTGGTGGTGTGTGCCTGTAATTCCAGCTACTCGGGAGGCTGAGGCAGGAGAATCGCTTGAACCTGGGAGGTGGAGGTTGCGGTGAGCCGAGATCGCACCACTGCACTCCAGCCTGGGTGACAAGAGCGAAACTCCATCTCAAAATAAAATGAAATAAAATAAAATGGCTTTTAGCTGCAAGACAGGCAAAACAAATGCTGGCAAGGTGGTAGAGAAAGGAGAACCCTGGTACCCTGTTGGTAGGAGTGTAAATTAGTACAGCCATTACGGAGAAAAGTATGGAAGTCCTTTAAAGAACTAAAAAGAGGTTGGATGAAGTGGATCATGCCTGTAATCCCGGCACTTTGGGAGACCGAGGCGGGCACCTCAGTTGAGGTCATGAGTTTGAGAGCAGCCTAGCCAACCTGGGGAAACCCCATGTACACTAAAAAAAACCAAAAAGTATCCCGGCATGGTGGCGTGCACCTGTAATCCCAGCTACTAGGGAGGCTGAGGCAGGAAAATCATTTGAACCCAGGAGGCGGAGGTTGCAATGAGCCAAGATCACATCACTTGTACTCCAGCCTGGGCACAGAGGGAAACTGTCTCAAAAACAAAAACAAAACAACAAACGAAAAACTAAAAAGAGAACTTTCATAGTATCCAGCAATTTCACTACTGGGTTTATATCCAAAGGAAAGTAAATCAATGTATCGAAGTGATATCTGCACTCGTATGATTGGTGCAGCACTCTTCACAGTAGCCAAGATGTGGAGTCAACCTACCTGCCCATCAGTGGATGAATGGATAGAGAGAATGTAGTACATACGCACAGCGGAGACTACTCATCCATAGAAAGAATAACATCCTGATATTTGCAGCCACATGGATGGAACTGGAAGTCATTACAAATATTCTCATTTCTCACCCATATACAGGAGCTAAAAGGTGGATCTCATGAAGATAGAGAGTAGAATGGTGGCTACCAGAGGCCAGGAAGAAAAGGGTGGAGGATAAAACAAACAAACAAAAAATTTATATGTATGTATTTATGACCACTAGACCTTACACTTAAAATTGGTAAACGTGGCCGGGCGCGGTGGCTCATGCCTGTAATCCCAGCACTTTGGGAGCCTGAGGCGGGTGGATCACGTGGTCAGGAGTTCCAGAGCAGCTCGACCAACATGGTGAAACCCCCTCTCTACTAAATATACAAAAAGTAGCCCGGCGTGGTGATGGGCGCCTGTAGTACCAGCTACTCAGGTGGCTGAGGCAGGAGAATCGCTTGAACCCAGGAGGCGGAGGTTACAGTGAGCTGAGATTGTGCCACTGCATTCCAGCATAGGAGACAGAGCTAGACTCCACCTCAAAAAAAAAAAAATGTTAAAAGTGGTAAGCTATATAGGTATATTTAACCTCAATGAATATTTTTTCAAACAAAAAGAAAAGGATGTAGGGGTTGCTGGTGATGACATCTCTGTGTGGGTGAGAGGCCAGGAAGGGCTTCTGGGAAATGGGTAAGGTTGAGGGGCTGAGGGAACCTCTGATCTCCCCAAACTGAGCCCAGTCTCCCCTTCTCTGGGTCTCTCCTGACCGCTTTCTACATCTGCCTGGGTTTCTGGAGCCCTAATCGGAGGCCTCCATGCAGGCCATGCAGGAGGGTTTGGAGGTGCTGTGTGTGCCATCCTGCGCCCTGATCCCTCCCTCACAGGCATGCTGCGTCTTCTCTCTGCATCTGTCCATGCTTCTCTCCATCATCAGCAGGAAGCTCCTCAGCTAAGGCTCTAGGATCATAGGACATGGGACAGATATGGGGTTTCCTCACCTGTGACGGAAACAAGCAGTGGATCACTCGAGTTTGACCACTCGTAGGGAGCGTCACGGAAAGAGCCGAAGCATCTGTAGGTCCCTCCGTGGGTGGCAGGGCCCAGAGGAAAGTCGGCCTGGAATGTTCCGTTGATGCTGCGCACTGCAGGGAGCCTACGTTCATGGGCCTCCCCTTCCCTGGATAGATGGTACATGTCATAGGAGCTCCGGGAGCTGCAGGACAAGGTCACATTCTCTCCTGCCTGAACCGTGGGGCCCGGCTGGGCTGAGAGAGAAGGTTTCTCATATAGACCTGGAAGGAGAAGGGGCAGTTTCCTCAGGGGGGATCTTCCTTGTCACAGCTCCCCTCACACCTGACCTGAGAACTCACTCCCCTGCTCTATGGCCTAATGCTCTCTTTCTCTGTCTCACCCTCCACCCTATCTCTCTTCATGTCTATTTCCTCCTTCCACCTTCTCTGTCTCTGTAGGTCTCTGACCTCACTTCCCTACCTCTAGTTATGTTTTCCTTTTTTGGATTGTTTTATTCTCTCTGGCTCTCCTTGGATTGGTTGACTTGATGTTACTTTTTTTAACTCTGAGTTTCTCAGTTTGTGTCCCGTTCATAACTTTCTGCATATTTCTATCTATTATCTATCAATCCATCTATTTATCTATTCGGTGCCTATCTACAAATTCTCTACCTGTCATCTATATCTATATATCATCTATTTATCTATCAATTGTCTATCCGTCAATCATCTATTATCTATATATATGTATCATCTCTCTCTCTCTATTATTTCTCTCTTTGTCTTCCTCTCTATCTCTATGTATTATCTATCCATCTATCTTCATCATCATCATCTCTATGTATCATCTATTAATGAATCAATCAATCATCATCTATGTATCTATAACCTATTATCTATCATCTACCTATATATCATCTATCTATATCTATCCATCATCTATCTGTATCTATCCATCTATCATCTGTCTTGCTCTGCCTCTCGGTCTCTCTAGTTCTCTTTGGAATCTCTGCAATTCATCCCCACATCTCCATCTTTCTATGCCCTTGTGCCTCGCCCTCAGGACTCTAATTTTAGTGGTTTTCTCTGCTCTCTTCCATCATTCTCTCCACTTCTCTGCCCTCTTCTCTCTCTTTATGTGTCTGTGAGTCTCTCAATCTCCTTCCTCTGGCTCTTTCTCTGTGTGTTTATGTCTTTGCTTTTTGGTGTCCCTGATTTCTCTCTGTGCTTCTCAGTGATCCTCTCATATGTGATATGTGGGGTTATTTGGAATGTGAGCCTCAGAATCCAGTCTGGAGACCACAAGTTCACACAGCATACAGGGGTTGGTGTTCTGGGGCCATGATATTTTGGGACGATTATTCTCCATTGCATGGAAGTCAGAGGTGTCAGAATAAGCATGGCATCTGTAGGTGCCACAAGGCCTGAGGCCACAGGGCCCAACTCAGGTCAGAAATATGGGTGTCCTTGGGTTCTCCTGGTAGAGAACACTTTGTGGAGGTAAAACAGAAATGAAACTTCTAACCTGTGCCAGGTCTCTGAGCAAAGTCAGCATGGAAGGACACCTCTGTCTGGGACATGTCTGTCTGTCTCCTTTAACTCTTTCTGTCTTTTCTAACTCCCGGTATGGCCCCTGTGTTTGTCCTCTGTTATGACACCTGGTCTGTACTTGTGTCTCTTGTTTCTCTGTCTCTGTTGGCACAGACCTCACCAAGTCAGTCTCTCTCCATAAGAATACCAAGCTCATCTTCCTTACAACCACCTGGGTCTCCAAGTCCTGGATCATTCACTCTGCATCCCAATGACAATGAGAAGAATGTCTGGACACTCTCACCTATGATCACCATGTCCAGAGGGTCACTGGGAGCTGACAACTGATAGGGGGAGTGAGGAACAGAACCGTAGCATCTGTAGGTTCCTGCAAGGACAGGCATCATGGGACCAATGGAGAAGTTGGCCTTGGAAACCCCATCATGGTGCTCTCCAATGAGGTGCAAAGTGTTGTTAAACTTCCCCTCTCTGTGCAGAAGGAAGTGCTCAAACATGACATCCGACCAACATTGCAGGATGACTGTCTCTTCTGATTTCACCAGGTGACCTGGGAGGGCCAGGAAGGAAGGTTTTCTGTGGACTCCTAGGAAGAGAGGTTGTGAGTTTAGAAGGTGTCTCTCTTTATCATCCCATCCATGGCACCTGGAATGAGTGAGACTTCCCTTCGCTGGTGTCTGTCTCTCTGCTTCCTCTCTGTGTCTTCATGTTCTTTTCTGTGCCCATAACTCCTGGTGCAGGTCCTTCCATCTGTCTCCCTCCCTCTTCTCTGTCCCTCTGTCTCTAGTAGCTGTGATTCCCTTCCCACTGGGCTCAGCCTCATCTCTTGGGCTGTTGTATCTATTTCACACTAATGTCTTTCTTACTGTCTATGTGGGAGTGGAAGAGGAAGCAGGATAGGCTGCACGTCCCGGCTCTTAGCAGCCTGGTTCAATCTCTTTTGGACGAATTGGAATCCTTGGCAGGAGGTATGAACTGATCAGTAAGGCAGGCACCAGTGTCCACACACCCTGTTCCTGGTGGGGACTGGGAGCCACTCTTGCCATGTCTGTGCCTTCTCCATGGTGCCAGTTTCCATAGGCTGGCTCCTCGTGCTGATTTGAGGAGTATCAACCCCTCCCTATGTGGATGGAGCCTGGTGGTGGCATCATCATCCCACCCTTGCTGATCTCGGTGTAGCCAACCTTCTCTTTGTTTGGTTTCTTTAATTAATTAATTAATTTTGGAGACAGAGTCTCACTCCTTCACCCAGGCTGGAGTGAAGTGGTGTGGTCTACGCTCACTGCAACCTCTGTCTCCTGGGTTCAAGCGATTCTCCTGCTCTCAGCCTCCCGAGTCGCTAGGATTACATGCACCTGCCACCATGCCTGGCTATCCTTGTGTCTTTTCTTAACTTGTCCTTGACCTGGGTTCCAGTGTTGGTTTCCTGTTGCTGCTGTAGAAAATTATCAGAAGCATGGCAGCAGGAGAGAGCACACTGACCCCCTCCGATTCTGGAGACAGAAAGCGGACCCTGTTTTTCGAGGGCTAAAATCAAGGCATCTGCAGGGCTGTGTTCCCTCTGGAGACTCAGGAGAATCAGTTACTTGACTTTCCCAGCCTCTATAGGCCACCTGCATTCATGGCTTATGGCCTTCATCCACCTTCAAAGCTAATGGAGTCTCCCACTACGCTGCTCTAATCCCCACTCTCCTCTTCCTCCTCCTTTCATGTGGACACTTGTGATTATATTGAGCCCACCGGGACAGTCCAGGCTGTCTCCCCATCTCAAGGTCAACTCATCAACAACCTGAGCTCCATCTTCCCCTTCAGTCCCTTCCCCTATAACATAAATAGTCACAGACTCCAGGGATTAGAATGCAGTCATCACTGGGGACACTTATTCTTCCCACCACAGCACCCATTTCCCTGTATTCAATCCCCCTTTACCCCAAATACAGTTAGGGCCTGCGTGATGGGACCCTCAAGGACATGCCTACCAGAAGCTCTGGGATTCAGGAGGTGGGACAAGGAGAATCCCAGACAGGAGCCCTCTGACCTGTGACCATGATCACCAGGGGGTTGCTGGGTGCCGACCACCCACTGGGGGAGTGTGTGTGTGAACCCCGGCATCTATAGGTCCCTGCATGTGACGGGGTCACAGGGCCCATGAAAAGGCTTTTCCAGAATATTCTGTTGTACAGCTCAGGGACAGGCACCCCATCATCCTTGTACAGACTGAAGTTGTTAAACCCAAGATTAGAGTGACACTGAAGAGTCACATGTTCTGGAGGCACCACAAGGCTGGGCCAGGTAGAAAGCAAGGGCTTGTCCTGACCACCTTGGGGTGAAGGAGGCGCCGCCTTAGAGAGGAGGATGTGGAGCTGTGCCTCCCTCCCTGTGCTCAGAAGATTCTCCCCACTTTCCACATTTCTATGGCTGCTATCACACCTTGGTGCCTAGGGCTAAAGGAAGGACCCATCCCACAAAGACAAGGTGTCTCCGTACAACAAAAGTGTCAGCTGAGAACTTTGAGCAAGTGCTGAGTAAGAGACTCCTACTAGATTTTAATACTGTAAGATTACTGACATAAAACAACACAGGGTAGACATGAAGTGGAGGGCATGTCCTTTGAGAATGGAATATCAGCAGTTGCCTGAATGAAAATAAAAAACTTAGCCCCCATCAGAGGATTTGGAATGTCAGGGCCATGGCTGTGGTTTCCCACCTCTTCTGGTAGAATGACAGCAGCCACACTGCAGCCCCTACCGTCATGGAAACGCTGAAGTGTGTGAGTAACACCTTTGTCCTCAGAGGATCTGCTGTTCCTACCACTTCCCCACCACACAACCCAGCTTTGAACACCCTAGTCCAACCCTGGTCCCCACACAACTTGACTCTGCCAAGGGGTTGAGAGGCCAGGGAGGCAAGGTCGGAACTGTGGGCCGAGCACCCCAGGGTCCCCTCTTCCTAGTTTATGAGAGACTCCCTGACAGGACTTCCCTCCCGTTTCAGGAAAATCCTCTTATGTGGGGAGATGACACCCTAAGGTTTGGAGAAGGACTTACCCTCCTGTGGCCAGGCCCCCTGCAGCAAGAAGAACCCTGGAAAGAAAGATCATGATGGAAGATCCATTTGCAGGCAAACAAGGCCTTCCTTGCTGCCCCCACTGGGCTGTGAGTCTTGATAGCCAGCCCCTTCCTGGGCCGAAGGTAAACTCACCATCAGTGCCTACCTGCACCCAAGAACAGTGCTCTCGGCTGTACAGAGACCCAGCCTCCAGGCCCATATCCCCACCCCAAGCCCATATCTCCACTCCAGGCCCATATCTCCACTCCAGGCCGATATTTCCACCCTAGACCCATATAGCCAATCCGGGCCCACATCTCCAATCCAGGCTCAGATCTCCACCCTCGGCCCATATCTCCAATCCAGGCCCATATCTCCACTCCAGGCCCATATCTCCACTCCAGTCCCATATCTCCTCTCCAGTCCCATATCTCCACTCCAGGCCCATATCTCCACCCCAGGCCCAGATCTCCACCTCCAGGCCCATAACTACACTCCAGGATCATATCTCCACTCCAAGCCCATATCTCCACATCAGGCCCATATCTCCACTCCAGTCCCATATCTCCACACCCAGGCCCATATCTCCATTCCAGGCCCATATCCCCATCCTAGGCCCATATCTCCACCGTAGGCCCAGATCTCCACTCCAGGCCCATATCTCCACTCCAGGGCCATATCTCCACTCCAGGCCCATATCTACACACCAGGCCCATATCTCCACCCCATGCCCATGTCTCCACTCCAGACCCATATCTCCACCCCACGCCCATATCTCCACTCCAGGCCCATATCTCCAACCCACGCCCATATCTCCACCTCCAGGCACATATCTCCACCCCACGCCCGTATCTCCACTCCAGTCCCATATCTCCACTCCCGGCCCATGTCTCCACCCCATGCCTATATCTCCACTCCAGTCCCATATCTCCACTCCAGGCCCATATCTCCACTCCAGACCCATATCTCCACTCGGCCCATGTCTACACTCCAGGCCCATATCACCACCTCCAGGCCCATATCTCCACTCCAGGCCCATATCTCCACCTCCAGGCCCGTATCTCCACTCCAGACCCATATGTCCACTCCAGGCCCATATCTCCACTCCAGGCCCATATCTCCACTCCAGGGCCATATCTCCACTCCAGGCTCATATCTCCACTCCAGGCCCATATCTCCACTCCAGGGCCATATCTCCACTCCAGGCTCATATCTCCACTCCAGGCCCATATCTCCACTCCAGGGCCATATCTCCACTCCAGGCCCAGATCTCCACCTCCAGGCCCGTATCTCCACTCTAGTCCCATATCTCCACTCCAGGCCCATATCTCCACCTCCAGGCCCATAACTTCACTCCAGGCCCATAACTCCACTCCAGGCCCATATCTCCACCTCCAGGCCCATATCTCCACTCCAGGGCCATATCTCCACTCCAGGCTCATATCTCCACTCCAGGCCCATATCTCCACTCCAGGGCCATATCTCCACTCCAGGCCCAGATCTCCACCTCCAGGCCCCTATCTCCACTCTAGTCCCATATCTCCACTCCAGGCCCATATCTCCACCTCCAGGCCCATAACTTCACTCCAGGCCCATAACTCCACTCCAGGCCCATATCTCCACCTCCAGGCCCATATCTCCACTGCAGACCCATATCTCCACTCCAGGCCCATATCTCCACTCCAGGCCCAGATCTCCACTCCAGGCCCAGATCTCCACTCCAGGCCCAGATCTCCACCTCCAGGCCCCTATCTCCACTCTAGTCCCATATCTCCACTCCAGTCCCATATCTCCACCTCCAGGCCCATAACTTCACTCCAGGCCCATAACTCCACTGCAGACCCATATCTCCACTCCAGGCCCATATCTCCACTCCAGGACCATATCTCCACTCCAGGCTCATATCTCCACTCCAGGCCCGTATCTCCACCTCCAGGCCCATAACTTCACTCCAGGCCCATAACTCCACTCCAGGCCCATATCTCCACTCCAGTCCCATATCTCCACTCCAGCCACATATCTCCACCCTAGGCTCCTACCTCCCCTCCAGGTTCCTATCTCTCCTCCAGGTTCCTCTCTCCACTCCAGGTTCCTATCCCCACTCCAGGCCCATATCTCCACTCCAGGCCCAGATCTTCACTCCAGGCCCAGATCTCCACTCCAGGCGCAGATCTCCACTTCTAGGCTCATCACTCCATCTCTAGGCCCAGATCTCCACTCCAGGCCCATAACTCCACCTCCAGGCCCATATCTCCACCTCTGGGCCCAGATCTCCATCCCCACGCTCCCTCCCTCTATTCCCTTCCAGGACTCACCAACACACGCCATGATGATGACCATGAGCGACATGGTGCTGCCGGTGCAGACAGGCGGCCGCGCCCCAGCTCAGCTCAGCAGCACACAGGATGTTATTTGGCGCCCTGCCCATGCAGTTTACATGTTGACCACATCATGGGAGGGTGACGTACGCAGGCTTTTTCTACCTTGCATGAGGCCCAGTGGGTGCTCGCTCAAGAGCGGAACATGGCTTCCTGGAAATTGCTCTCACTAGAATTGACACCTCGCGTCCTTCACTATGACCAACTCAAAACATGTCTTAGATCCAACCTCCCAAACATGAGATGCCTAAAATCTGTGCTAACATGAAAGACTTTTCATGAATTTTTATTGTTTTTATCTGAGATTCGAACTCTTCTTCCTGTGTAATATGCAAAATATCTAATAGGTATTATTAGTGTTTTCAGAGTCATTGTGACTAATAAACCATTAGAATTGTTCATGCTTGTATTTCTAGTATTACAGCAGAACCAGTTCAAATGATTTAAATTCCCAGGGAAGGATTATGCAATTATTTACAATCTTAGAATTGTACTTTATCAGCAAAAACCACACATGTAAATTCTGGATTTTTGTAGTTTTATCTATAATTTGTCTCATGACTCAAGATTCCAGAGTCCCAACTTTGGAGTTTGCTCTCTCTCTGTCTCTCTGCCTCCCTCATTTTAAATTTTACAGAAATATCCAGTAACATAATGCTATAGAAAATCAAGTTTCCCCCAGCAGGTCGGGAAGCCGAGGTGGGCGGATCAACTGAGATGAGGAGATTGAGAGCAGCCTGGCCAACATAGTGAAACCGTGTCTCTGCTAAAAATCCAAAAATTAGCCGTGCCTGGTGGCAGGCACCTGTAACGCCAGCTACTCAAGAGGCTGAGGCACGAGAATCGCCTGAACCTGGGAGGCGGAAGTTGCAGTGAGCTGAGATTGCTCCACTACAGTCCCGCCTGGGCGACAGAGCAAGACTCCGCCTCAAGAAAAAAAAATAGCAAGTAGCCTATAATAACAAATTAGAGGGCTCTGGCTACTAAATTTAAAGGGTTTTATAAGGCTACATGAAGTGCAGCATCCTCAAGAGTGTGGACACAGAGAGCCCCTTAGCAGAAACAGTGTCTAAAATACATCCGTGTACACACAGTCCCTTTAGAGTTGACAAAGGCTGCCGTGTGGTTTAAGGTGGCATAGAATGTCTTCTTAATAAATAATATTAAACCAAAGGGTTACACGTAGGAAAAAATAAATCTAAACTTATTCTCACACTATAAAAACACTTCTTACTTTTTATCTAGTTATTGTACATTTTTTATGATTTATATTTAAAATTGAGAAATAAAAGTCATATACGGTCATCCTTTACTATTCGTGGGTGATTGGTTTCAGGATCTCCACTCAGGTACCAAAATCTGCAGATGCTCAAGCCTCTTACATAAAATGACACAGCATTTGGATATAACCCATGCACATCCTCCTGTATACATGAAATCATCTCTTGATTACTTATAATTCCTGATACAGCCTACACACTGCCTCATTTGTGTCCATTCAACATAGTTTTGCATTTTGAAACTTTGTGGACATTTTCTCTGAATATTTTTGATTTACACTTGGTTCAATAAACACCTGTAAACCCCACAGATATGGAGGAGCGACTGTATATTTATAGTATGAAATATGATGTGTTGATATGTGTCCCCGTGGAGATGAGACTAGCAAGGCTTATGACTCTACAAATGTTTCATCGTGGAATGACTCTGCCAGCTTTCCAGGTTGCAGAGAGTAAGAATATCACTTGTTCATGTGATTCACGATCCTTGGAACCTCCTATGTGCTGCATCTTTGGATGGAAATTGGAGTCCCAGAGACAAATGAGGCTCCACCCTGCTTCCAGAAGCTCAGAATCCAGGGGTGAGAACCCAGCGGAGAACAGATGGGGTTATGTGGACATGGTAATGATAACAGCGGTTTCTTTCAGCGAATACAGTGTCACATTACCTGAAGCAATGAGGGCAGACATGTTTATTTGAAGAGGAGACAGCTACATTGAAATCACAAAAAATTTTATAAGTTTCACTGCTGACAGAAGGCTGGAAAATAGTCCGAAGAAAGGTGAAACAGCATGAGGGAAGGTGGAACAGCACGTGGGTAAGTGCCACGTCAAGAGGGAGCCTCTTGTATGTTTGGAATTGTGAGTTCCTCAGTGTGATTGCAGCCTCAAGTAGACTAGGAAGTAAGCCAGTTAGGTTGGAGAGGTGGGCAGGGGTCAAGTGAAATGGAGAACTGTGGGCTAAGCAAAGGAGTGTGTTTTCTTTCCAGCAGGCAGTGGGGACCTAGACATTTGTAAGCAAGAGAGAGGCACCAGATTTGTGGCGTGAGGAGGAGCGATGCCCTAAGATGAAGACTCACGCCTTCAGATTCCAGCTGCTGGTACATGGGAGCTGGCAACTCGGTTTTGAGACAGGGCTGTTGTCTCCCTAGAAGACGTCCTCAAGGCCTGACTGTGGTGCTCATGGGCAGGAGACAACTTTGGATCTGGGCTTAGCATTTGGAAGTTCCGTGTACAAGATGGTATCTGTAGGGGGTGTCTTGGGCCTCTGAGAAGGGCGAGTGATTTTTCTCTGTGTGAAAACGCAGTGATCCAACTGTGCGTATGTCACCTCCTCAGGGTCTTGTTCATCAGAGTCCTGGAGAGAGGGAAATGCTGAGTGAGGGAGGGAAATGCTGAGTGAGGGAGGGTGCTCACGTTTTCCAGGACTGTTTGGGAATAACACTAGCCACGAGGCTGGGCCGAGGAGCACCTACCTCGCTGTTGGCTGTTCTGTTCCCTGCAGGCTCTTGGTCCATTACAGCAGCATCTGTAGGAGACGGAAGTCAACAAAAGAGCTCGGAGGGCACTTCTGGGTCCTCATTTCATAAGCAGATACCAACAAACAGGGGGAGGCCATAGGTGCCTGAGGTCCCTCAGTTGCCAACAGCAGACTCAGACATTCTATCTCTCTGAGCTCAAGGACCCATCCCATGAATAGCTCTGAGTTCCCATCCCATTGATTCTGTCTCCCACTTTCTGCCTCTCATGGAACCTTCTCCTGGATGTGAGTGGCTGCAGGGGACATGAGGATACAGTTCAGAATCAGGCAACGGTCTGTGAGCTGAAGGCAGGGGCAGGGAGTCTGGTGCTCTCTCTAGAAAGTCCTGCCTCTGTGGCTCCTGTCTTGGGCCAGGGACCATCCTGCCAGTGAGGAACACACAGCTGTGTGCTCCCATCCTGCTTCCCCACATGGCCCTGAGCTCTCTGGCCTGTGCCCCGTGAGACTTACTTTTTTTGTTGGAGCACCAGAGATGAAGGAGAAAGAAGAGGAGGAGGATGAAGAGGATGATGACCACTGAGGTCCCAATCAGAATGTGCAGGTGTCTGGGGTTACCTGGAAGAAGAGGAGACACCAGTAAGAAGCTAATCATAGCAGTTTCTCTATATGAATTGTCTTGCATTTCTTGATTGACAGGTAACCACTTACAGCATCTCTTTCGGACAAGCACCCAGATGGCGGGAGACCTAGCTTCCTCCTGCTTTCTCAGTTATAGCTCTCATAGTAACCATGGAACGTGCTGAGGATACAACTACTTTAGTTGAGATGTTTGACCCCTTCAAACCTCACATTGAAATTTAACCCCCAGTGTGGGAGGTTGGGCCTCTTGGGAGGTGTTTGGGTCATGGAGGTGGATCCATCATGAACAGATCAATGCTGTCCCAAGGAGACGGGGTTAGCAAGTTCCCTCTCTATTAGTTCCTGGAGAGCTGGTTGTTAAAAAGAGCTTGGAAGCTCCATTGCTCCCCCTCCCCCTTGCTCCCTCTCTTGCCGTGTGATCTCTGTGGTCTCTGCACAGACAGACCCTCCTTCCCTTCTGCCAGAGTGGGAGCGGCCTGAGGCCATCATAAGAAATAGATGCTGGTGCCATGCTTCCAGTACAGCCTGCAGAATGGTGAGGCAAACCAATCTCTTCTTTAGAAGTTACCCAGGCTCAAGTGTTCCTTTAGAGCAACAAAAATGGACTAAGACAGCAAAGTCCTGAGATCAGGAGGATCGTCCCAGAACAGCCTGGGCTGTCTTCCTGTTCTTCCTGGAGGAGGACGTCATGCAGTGCTTTAGCTGAGTGCTTCCTGTGGCTCCAGGGTACAAAACCCAGGCTGGGCTGCTTTCTGGCTTCCCCCAGCTACACTGCAAATGGGGTGACTCCACATGTCTCGAGCAGCTTTTCTGAGCCTTGGGGAACTGGCTCACATTGAAATGTAGGCTTCTGTTGTCACTCGCTGCTTATCTGTTAGTAATGAACCTGCCTATGTAACGTATTCTCTGTGTGTTCTGTCTCCCTGGAGTGACGGTGAGTGATAGGAATTGGCATAGGCCCAGGTGCAGTCCAGGAGGTGTTTAGAGTCTTCTCTGGGAAGACTGGACTGGGATTGATACACAGCGAATGTGCTTTAGGATTTCTACATCCACGGCATTCTTGAGTTAAACAACTTGCATTCTCCAAGAAAAGGAAACAAAAGTGAAATCAATATAAAAAAAGCGAAGTAGAATTCTCTTATGTCAAACAGCCAGAAAATAGTGTTGAAGCCCGTGTGAAATGTGCTACTCTTTGTGATCTCGGGAGACACATGTTAGGCTGCTGTTCTACCTCAGAGGCTGGGGGAAGGACCACCCCCTCGACTATCTATTGCTTCAATACCACCTGTCCTCCTGTGAATTAGTAGGAAAGGGGAGCAGGAGCTAGTGCTGGCACTGATCTCTGATTCCAAGATCTGGACTCACTCCAAGGAGTATTAGCATTTACCTCCCCATGATCTATCTGTATCTCCACAGGTGATTGGAAGTAGGGGTGAGATGGGGGATTTGGGTGAGGGGGCAAGTTTTTTTTGTGATGACCAGAGCACTTTCTCTATTCCAGGATTTGTGCTGGAGGATTCAGCGGGCTTTCACATTTTCTATATGATCTCATGCTCACAGAAAGCCAAATACGGAAGAGGTTTTAGGCTGATTGCCTAATGGATAAGATAAAGGATCAAAGAAGTAATTATAGAGAAATAGAAAAATGATGATGGGAATTCAGGTGCCTTTGTCATTCGTGTGTGTTTTATTATATTTATGCATTTCTTATTTTTATTTTTTGAGATGGAGTCTCCTTGTGTCACCCAGGCTGGAGTGCAGTGATGCGATCTCCACTCACTGCAACCTCCACCTCCTGGGTTGAAGTCATTCTCCTGCTTCATCCTCCAGAGCAGGAGCTGGGATTACAGGGATGCACCACCATGCTCGGCTAATTTTTGTATTTTTAGGAGAGATAGGGTTTCACCATGTAGAGATAGGGTTTCTCCATGTTGGCCAGGCTGGTCTCGAACTCCTGACTTCTTGGAATCCACTGGCCTTAGCCTCCTGCAGTGCTGGGTTACAGGAGTGAGCCACCGTTCACAGACTTGTATACTATGCTATAATAGGTCCCTTCATTTCCACCACCCCTCATATATCTGTCACTCCTTTGGCAGGTATTGATTTATGTGTAGGAGGAATAAATCTCAGAAAGAAATTAATTTAGCAAGGATTAAACAACTAGGAAACTCAAACCCAGCAAGCCCTCCCTGCAAATGATTCTACCTCCCAAACATAGCTTATATCCATCTGCTTCATCCACTTAGGGTCTAAATCAGCACCACATTTCACCAGTGGGGCGGCAATTGCCTTTTCCACTGTCTCCTAGATTCCAGTTACGCACCTGGGCCTCCCTTATTTTCATGTCAGTCACTATTAATCATGTAGGGATTCCTGGCTACCCCGAGGTGAATCCAATGGCTGTGAGTGTCAAACACACACTCCTTGTTGCTCCTTAGTTTCCTGTGTACCCAGTGTGCTCTCCGTCTCTCCACAGTCGTCTTGTCATTCTCCCCACCTCATTCCCAGCATTTCAGGCAGAGCCTCTTCCTTCCACATCAGATTGTTTTCAGCTTTCTGCCTTCACGGCTGACAGCTGTGTGTGGAAAATCCTTCCGCCAATCTTTCAGGGGTTCAATCCGTGTTTTTCATTAATGTCACAAATATCTGATTAGTGAGACCTTCTCTGTCACCCAAAATTATACACTCAGCATTATCTATTATTTATTTTGAATTCTGGCTGGGCAAAGTGGCTCACGCCTGTAATCCCAGTACTTTGGGTTGCTGAGATGGTCGGATCACTTGAGGTTGGGAGTTTCAGACAAGCTTGGCCAACATGGTGAAACATCCTCTCTACAAAAAATATACAAAAAGAATTAGCCGGGCATGGTGGCAGTTGCCTGTAATCCCAGCTACTCGAGAGGGTGAGGCAGGAGAATCACTTGGATCCAGGAGACGCAGGTTGCAGTGAGCCAAGATCGTGACACTGCACTGTAGCCTGGAAGACAGAGGGAGACTCTGTCTCAATAAATAAATGAACGAACAAACAAATAGATTTCATGCACAGATGCTTCCCAATGGATCATTCATTTATTGGTCCACTTGTGCATTCATTTTCTGTCCTCCCATTTAACCATCTGCAATATCAGTGTCCCAAGAGCAGAGGCCAAATGCATCTTGTTCACCGTTCGTGGAAGGCAGGAGAATGCTGTCCCACCCCAAAATGTCCCTGTCCTAGCCTCCATAGCTTGTGAATATCTTATTTTACATGGAAAGAAGGAATGAAGATTGCAGATGGAATTACGGTTGCTAGTCAGCTGAACTGAAAACAAGGGTATCCTGAATGATTTCCGGGAGATTATGATGGATTTTCATCTTGGTGAACCCAATAGAATCCCCAAGTTTTCAAAAGATAAGGAAGAAGGGAGAGCAGCATTCAGAGAAAGAGGTGTGGTAAGGAAGAAGGGTCTGAGTGATGCCATGTGAGATGTGACCAGTCTTTGTGGGCTTTGAGGAAGGAGGAAGGGGACCAGGAGCCAAGGAACTGGGAGCCTTTAGAAGCTGGGACAAGTGAGAAGCAGATTCTTGCCTGGAATCCTCAGAGGGAAGGCAGCCTTGCTGTCACCTTGATTTTAGCCCAGTAAGATGCACTTCCTACTTTGAGCTACAGCACTGTAAGATAATTAAAAAACCGTTTTGTTTTCACCCACGAATCTTGTGGAAATTTGTTATGGCAACAATAGGAAAGGATTCCAACTGCACAGCCTGAGCATGGGGCCGTGGCTGAATGAGTCAGTGAGTCGAAGTGTGCGTGCATGAGCTCTGTTCTCTGTTACGGCAAGGCTCTTGCTCTGCTGAGTCAGCCAGGGTTGCTTCATGACCAACAGTAATTCATTCCTTGGCAAGTGGAACTTCTCTAAAACACCTCGCCCTCATCAGATGTTCCCTTCCCTTCCCTCTCTCAAGTCCCCAGGAATTTATCCTCCAGTTAGGAATGCAGGAAGAAAAAACACTGCATGTTTCCTGAGAAGGATGTCAGATTGGCAATCATTCTTCTAGCTTGTAGGAGGTCTCACCTGCAGGACATTAAAGGTTAAGAGACTTCGCTGAGTCCTTTGGTGGCCCTAGATCCCTTTCACTGTTGGAGTGTCTGGAGTTCAGAGATGGTGGAAGACAGGCCCTCATTCACAGAGCTGGGAGGTTTGAGCCAACACTTGCATCCAAGGCTTCCACCTCCCCAGGTTTCCAAAAGCAGAGATAAGAGGGGTCCTTTACTCACCAGATTTGGAGCTTGGTTCTGTGGGTGAAGGCCAACTACTTGAAGGGTTTCCTAGAACATGGGACAGGAGAGATGTGAGGAAATGAGGGTGCTTGTCCTCTACTCAATGGAAATCTTTGAGGTTGGTTCATGGCCAACACTCTGTTATCTAATGTTGGACCCTGGGAGTCTTGGGATCCTCTTCTCCATAATTTTTGTGTGCGATGCCCACTGTCTTGAGACTTGAAGGTATAAAGAGAAAACAGGAGCATCACACTACCTGACTTAGAAATATGTTACAGAGCTGTAGTAAGCAAAACAGCATGACATTGGCATAAAGAAAGGCACATAAAAAATGAAACAGAATGGAGAACACAGATATAATCCATGCATTTACATCCAATGGCTTTTTTTGTGTGTGTGTGTGTTAGAATCTTGCTCTGTCATGCAGGCTGGAGTGCAGAGGTGCAATCTCAGCTCAATGCAACCTCCACTTCCTGGATTCAAGCAATTCTCTTGCCTCAAACACCCGAGTAGTGGTATTACAGGCACTGGTCACCATGCTCAGTTAATTTTTGTATTTTTAGTAGAGACGAGGTTTCACTCTGTTGGCCAGCCTGATCTTGAACTCCTGGCTTCAGGTGATCCACCCGCCTCGGCCTCCCAAAGTGCTGGAATTGCAGGTGTGAGCCACCATACCCAGCCCATTTAATGGACTTTGACAAAGGTGCCGAGAACTTACAATCAGGAAAGGACAGTCTTTTCAATAAATGGTGTGGGGAAAACTGGATATCTATATGCAGAGGAATAAAACTGCATCTATACCTGTCACCATACACAAAAATCAAATGAAAATGGATTAAAAACATGAGTCTAAGGCCTGAACCTATGAAACATGTAGAAGAAAATAATGGGGAAGACATTTGTCTGACGAAAGACATTTTGTTTAAAACCTTCAAAACACAAGTAATCAAAGCAAAAAATAGACCATTAGGATTACATCAAACCAAGCAACTTCTGCACCACAAAAGATAAACCAAGAAAGTGAAGAGACAACCGACAAAATAGGAGCAAATATTTGCAAACTATTCATCTGAGACGGGATTAATAACTGGAAATATAAGAAGCTCAAACAACTCAATAAAACAATTTAATTAAAAAACGAGCAAAAGACATGAGGAGACATTTCTCCACAAACAAAACATAGAAATGGCGATCACGTATATGAAAAAGTACTCGGCATCACTCATCATCAGAGAAATGTAAATTACAATCGCGATGAGTTTTCATCTCATCCCATTAAAATGCCTTTTAGGCCGGTGGCTCACGCCTGTAATTCCGGCACTTCAGGAGGCGGAGGTGGGCGGATCACCTGAGGTCGGGAGACCAGCCTGACCATCATGGAGAAACTCCCTCTCTACTAAACATACAAAAATTAGCTAGGCGTGGTGGCACATGCCTGTAATCCCAGCTACTTTGGAGGCTGAGGCAGGAGAATCAGTTGAACGCGGGAGGCGGAGGTTGCAGTGAGCTGAGATCACACCCTTGCACTCCAGCCTGGGAGACTATGAGTGAAACTCCATCTCAACATAAATAAATAAATAAAATAAAGTAAAGTAAAATGGCTTTTACTGCAAGACAGGCAAAACAAATGCTGGCAAGATGGTAGAGAAAGGAGAACCCTGGTACCCTGTTGGTAGGAATGTAAATTAGTACAACTATTATGGAGAAAAGTATGGAAATTCTTTAAAAAACTAAAAGGAGGCTGGGCATAGTGGCTTATGCCTGTAACTTCAGCACTTTGGGAAACCGAGGCAGGCACCTCACTTGAGGTCAGGAGTTTGAGAGCAGCCTGCCCAAAATTGGGATATCCCGTCTGTGCTAAAAAAATACAAAAATTAGCCAGGCATGGTGGCGTGCACCTGTAATCACAGCTACTAGGGAGGCTGAGTCAGGACAATCATTTGAACCTAGGAGGCACAGGTTGCAATGAGCCAAGATCTCACCACTTAGACTCCAGCTTGGACTAAGGAGGGAAACTCTTTCTCAAAAAAGAAAAAAAAAAAAAGAGAACTTTCATAGTGTCCAGCAATTTCACTACTGGGTTTATATCCAAAGGAAAGGACATCAGTGTATCGAAGTGATATCTGCACTCATATGACTGTTCCAGCACTGTTCACAGTAGCCAAGATGTGGAGTCAACCTACCTGCCCATCAGTGGGTGAATGGATAGAGAACTGTGGTACACACACACAGTGGAGACTACTCATCCATAGAAACAATAACATCCTGTCATTTGCAGCCACATGGATGGAACTGGAGGTCATTACAAAGATTCCCATTTCTCACCCACATGCAGGAGATAAAAGGTGGATCTCATGAAGGTGGAGAATACAATGGTGGACACCAGAGGCCAGGAAGGGAAGGGTGGAGGGTAACAAAAAAAAGAATATAGATGTATTTATTTATTTAGAAACAGAGTCTCTCTCTGTCTCCCAGGCTGCAGTGCAGTGGCATGATCTCGGCTCAGTGCAACCTCTGCCTCCTGGCTTTAAGTGCTTCTCCTGCCTCAGCCTCCCAAGTAGCTAGGACTACAGGTGCATGCCAGCATGCTCGGCTAATTTTTCTTGTCTGTTTAGTAAAGATGAATTTCCCACATGTTGGCCAGGGTGATCTCGAGTTCCTGATCTTAAATGATCCACCTTCCTTGGCCTCTCAAAGCGCCGAGATTACAACCGTGAACCACCACACCCAGCATATAAAGGTATTTATGACCACTAGATTTTACTTTTAAAAATGGTAAAGGTGGTAAATTATATAGTTACATTTAACCTCAATAAATATTTTTGAAAATGAAAAGAAAAGGGTGTAGGGGTTGCTGGTGATGATATCTCTCTGTGTGGGTGAGAGGCCATGATGGGCTTCTGGGAAATGGATAAGATTGAGGGGCTGAGGGAACCTCTGATCTCCCCAAACTAAGCCCAGTCTCCCCTTCTCTGGGTCTGTCCTGACCGCTTTCTCCATCTGCCTGGGTGCCTGGAGCCCTGATCGGAGGCCTCCATGCAGGCCATGAAGGAGGGTTTGGAGGTGCCCTGTCTGCCATCCTGCGCCCTGACTCCGCCCTCACACCTGCTGTGTCTTCTCTCTGCATCTGTCCATGCTTTTCTCCATCATCAGCAGGAAGCTCCTTAGCTAAGGATTTAGGATCATAGGACATGAGAGAGATATGGGCTTTTCTCACCTGTGACAGAAACAAGCAGTGGGTCACTCGGGTCTGACCACTCGTAGGGAGAGTGACGGAAAGAGCCGAAGCATCTGTAGGTCCCTCCGTGGGTGGCAGGGCCCAGAGGGAAATCTGCCTGGAATGTTCTGTTGACCTTGCGCACTGCAGGGAGCCTACGTTCATGGGCTCCCCCCTCCCTGGATAGATGGTACATGTCATAGGAGCTCCGGGAGCTGCAGGACAAGGTCACGCTCTCTCCTGCCTGAACCTTGGGGCCCGGCTGGGCTGAGAGAGAAGGTTTCTCATATGGACCTGGAAGGAGAAGAGGCAGTTTCCTCAGGGAGGTTCTTCCTTGTCATAGCTCCCCTCATACCTGAGCTGAGAACTCACTCCCCTGCTCTATGACCTAATGCTCTCTCTCTCTCTCTCACCCTCCACCCCATCTCTCTTCATATCTGTTTCCTCCTTCTACCTTTTCTGTCTCTCTAGGTCTATGACCTCACTTCCCCACCCTGAGGTATGTTTTCCCTTTTTGGATTGTTTTATTCTCTCTGACCCTCCTTGGATTGGTTGACTTGATCTTCCTTTTTCTTTAATTTTGAGTCTCTCACTTTCTGTCTTGTTCATAACTTTCTGCACATTTCTATCTATTTATCTATTTTGTGTCTATCTACAAATTATCTATCATCTATATTTATGTATCACTTATCTATCTCTCTATCAATTGTCTATCTGTCTATCTATCCATCAATCATCTATTATCTATATATGTATCATCTATCTCTCTCTCTATTACCTCTCTGTCTGCCTCTCTGTCTCTATTTATGTATCATCTATGTATATATCTATGTGTCTATCATCATCATCGTCATCTCTATGTATCATCTATCAGTCATCATCTATGTATCTATAACCAATCCATTATCTATCATCTACCTATTTATCATCTATCTACGTCTATCTATCCATCTATCATCTCTCTCTCTCCGTCTCCTTGTCTTTCTCTGCCTCTCAGTCTCTCTAGTTCTATTTGGAATCTCTGCAATCCATCCCCACATATTTATCTTTCTCTGTCTTTGTGTCCCTCCCTCAGGGTTCTGATTTTGGGGCTTTTCTCTCCTCCTTTCCATCATTCTCTCCATTCTGCCCTCTTTTCTTTCTTTTTATGTGTCTGTGAATCTCTTAATCTCCTTCTTCTGGCTCATTTTGTGTGTGTTTATGTCTTTGTTTTTTGGTGTCCCTGATTTTTCTCTGTGTCTCTCAGTGATCCTATCATATGTGGGATTATTTGGAATATGAGCCTCAGAATCCAGTCTGGGGACCCCAAGTTCACACAGCATACAGGGGTTGGTGTTCAGGGGCCATGATATCCTGGGATGATTACTCTCCATTGCATGGAAGGCAGAGGTGTCAGAATAAACACGGCATCTGTAGGTGGCACAAGGCCTGAGGCCACAGGGCCCAACTCAGGTCAGAAATATGGGTGTCCTTGGGTTCTTCTGGTAGGAACACTTTGTGGAGGTAAAACAGAAATGAAACTTCTAACCTGTGCCAGGTCTCTGAGCAAAGTCAGCATGGAAGGACACCTCTCTCTGGGACATGTCTGTCTGTCTGAGTGTCTCCTTTACCTCTTTCTCTCTTTTCTACCTCCCTGTATGGCCCCTGTGTCTGTCCTCTGTTATGACACCTGTTCTGTACTTATGTCTCCTGTTTCTCTGTCTCTGTTGGTACAGACCTCACCAAGTCACTCTCTTTCCATAAGAATCCCACACTTATCTTCCTCATGACCACCTGGGGGTTCCAAGTCCTGGATCATTCACTCTGTGTCCCAGTGACAATGAGAACAATGTCTAGACACTCTCACCTGTGACCACGATGTCCAGGGGATCACTGGGAGCTGACAACTGATAGGGGGTGTGAGTAACAGAACCGTAGCATCTGTAGGTCCCTGCAAGGGCAAGCATCATGGGACCGATGGAGAAATTGGCCTTGGAGACCCCATCATGGATCTGTCCAACGAGGCGTGAGGGGTCCTTAGAGATCCCCTCTTTGTGCAGAAAGAAGTGCTCAAACATGATATCTGACCAACATTGCAGGATGACTCTCTCTCCTGATTTCACCAGGGGACCTGGGTGGGCCAGGAGGGAAGGTTTTCTGTGGTTTCCTAGAAAGAGAAGTTGTGAGTTTAGAAGGCATCTCTCTTTATCATCCCATCCATGGCACCTGGAATGAGTGAGGGTTCCCCTCCCCGTGTCTGTCTCTCTCCTCCCTCTCTGCATCTCCGTGTCTTTTCTGTGCCCATATCCCCTGGTGCAGGTGCCTCCATCTGTCTTCCTCCCTCTCCTCTGTCCCTCTGTCTCCAGTAGCCCCTGACTCCCTTGCCACTGTGAAGACAGCCTCATCTCTTGGGCTGTTGTATCTGTTTCCCACTAATCTCTTTCCTGCTGTCTATGTGGGGGTGGAAGAGGAGAGGCTGCATGTCCAGGCTCTTAGCAGCCTGAATCAATCTCTTTTGAACAAATCCCCAGTTCAAGTGATTCTCTTGCCTCAGCCTCCCCAGTCGTTGGATTACTCGCGCCCACCACCACATCTGGCTATCCTTGTTTGGTTTCCTAACTTGTCCTTGACCTGGGTTCCTGTGTTGGTTTCCTGTTGCTGCTGCAGAAAATTACCACAAACATGGCAGCGGGAGAGAACACACTGACCCCTTCCACTTCTGGAGACAGAAATTGGATCCAGTTCTCCCTGTGCTGAAATCAAGGTGTCTACAGGGCTGCGTTCCCTCTGGAGAATCAGCGAATCAGTTCTCTTGACTTCTCCAGCCCTTAGAGGCCACCTGCATTCTGTGACTAGTGGTCTTCCTCCACCTTCAAAGCCCGCAGTGGCTGATAGCGTCTCCCTCCCACTACACTGCTCTAATCCCCACTCCCCTCTTCCTCCACCTCTCATGTGGACCCTTGTGATTACACTGAGCCCAGTGGGACAGTCCAGGCTGTCTCCCCATCTCAAGGTCAACTCATCAACAACCTGAGCTCCACCTTCCCCTTCAGTCCCCTGCCCTGTAACATAAATAGTCACAGGCTCCAGGGATTACAATGTAGCCATCATTGGGGACAGTGATTCTTCCCACCACAGCACCCATTTCCCCTGTATTCAATCTCCCTTGACCCCAAATACAGTCAGGGCCTGGGTGATGGGACCCTGACGGACACCCCCACCAGAAGCTCTGGGATTCAGGAGGTGGGACAGTGAGAAGCCCAGACGGAAAGCCTCTGACCTGTGACCATGATCACCACGGGGTTGCTGGGTGCCGACCACCCAGTGGGGGAGTGTGGGTGTGAACCCCGACATGTGTAGTTCCCTGCATGTGCTGTGGTCACAGGGCTCATGTTGAAGCTCTCCTGGAATAATCTGCCATGGAAGATGGGAACGTGGATTCTGTCTTCTTTGTATAGCATGAAATTGTTAAACCTATGACGATAGTGACACCGAAGAGTCACGTGTCCTCCTCGAGGCACCACAGCGCTGGGCCAGGCAGACAGGAAGGGCTTGTCCTGACCACCTGGGGGAGAAGGAGGCACTGCCTTAGAGAGGAGGATGTGGAGCCGCCCCTCACTCCCAGTGCCCAGAAGATTCTCCCCATTTCCACTTTCTAAGGCTCCTACCACACCTGGGTGCCCAGGGCTACAGGAAGGACCCATCCTGCATAGACATGGCGTCTCCCTACAACAAGTGTCAGCTGAGAACTTTGAGCAAGTGCTGGAGAAGCAACTCTTACTAGATTTTAATACTGCAAAATTACTCATATAAAACAACACAAAGTAGACACGGCATGGAGGGCAAGTCCTATGTGAATGGAATATCAGCCAATTGATGAACTGAGCCCCCATCAGAGGATTTGGAATGTCAGGGCCATGGCTGTGGTTTCCTCACCTTTTCTGGTAGAAAGACCACAGCCACACTGCAGCCCCTACCATCACGGAAACGCTGGAGGGTGTGAGTTACACCTTTGTCCTCAGAGGACCTGCTGTTCCTAGCACTGCTTCCCTCTCTTTCTCTGCTGCTGACACCACTTCCTCCCTGCACACCCATCTTGGAGCACCCTAGTCTCACCCCAGTCTTCACAGAGCTTGACTCAGGAAAGGGAAAGAAAGGCCGGGGAGGGCAAGGTCAGAAATGTGGGCCGAGCATCCGAGGGTCCCCTCTTCCTAGTTTATGAGAGACTCCCCGACAGGACTTCCCTCCCATTTCAGGAAAATCCTCTTATGTGGGGAGATGACACCCTAAGGTTTGGGGAAGGACTCACCCACGTGTGGACCGGCCCTCTGGACCAAGAAGAACCCTAGAAAGAAAGATCATGATGGACCATCCATCTGCAGGCAAACCAGGGCACCCTGCTGCCCCCACTGGGCTGTGCGTCTTGGCAGCCAGGCCCTTGCTGGGCTGAAGGTAAACTCACCCTCGCTGCCTACCTGCCCCCAGGAACAAGGATCTCGGCTGTGCAGAGACTCAGCCTCCAGGCCCAGATCTCTACCTCCAGGCCTAGATCTACACAACAGGCCCAGATCTCCACTCCAGGTCCGTATCTCCACTCCAGACCCATATCTCCTCTCCAGGCTGATAAGTCCACTCCAGGCCCATATCTCCACTCCAGGCTCCTATCTCAACTCCAGGCTCATATATCCACTCCAGGCTCATATCTCCACTCCAGGCCCATATTTCCACTCCAGGCTTCTATCTCCTCTCCAGGCCCATATCTCCTTTCCAGGCTTGTATGTCTGCTCCAGGCCCGTATCTCCACCCCAGGCCCATATCTCCACTCCAGGATCATATCTCCACTCCAGGCCCAGATCTCCACTTCATGCCCTTAACTCCACCTCCGGGCCCATAACTCCACCTCTAGGCCCATATCTCCACTCCAGGCCCATATCTCCACTTCAGGCCCATATCTCTACTGCAGGCCCATAACTCCACCTCCAGGCCCATATCTCCACTCCAGGCCCATCGCTCCACTTCTAGGCCCATCACTCCACCTCTAGGCCCACATCTCCCCTCCAGGCCCATCCATATCTCCCCTCCAGGCCCATATCTCCACCCCAGGCACATATCTCCACCCCAGGCCCATATCTCCACTCCAGGCCCAGATCTCCACTCCAGGCACATATCTCCACCCCAGGCCCCTATCTCCACTCCAGGCCCAGATCTCCACTCCAGGCCCAGATCTCCACTTCAGGCCCATAACTCCACCTCCAGGCCCATAACTCCACCTCTAGGCCCATATCTTTACCTCCAGGTCCAGATCTCCATCCCCGCACTCCCTCCCTCGATTCCCTTCCAGGACTCACCAACACACGCCATGCTGACGACCATGAGCAACATGGTGCTGCCGGTGCAGACAGGCGGCCGCGCCCCAGCTCAGCTCAGCAGCGCACAGGATGTTATTTGGCGCCCTGCCCATGCAGTTTACATGTTGACCACATCATGGGAGGGTGACGTACGCAGGCTCTTTCTACCTTGCATGAGGCCCAGTGGGTGCTCGCTCAAGAGCGGAACATGGCTTCCTGGAAATTGCTCTCACTAGAATTGACACCTCGCGTCCTTCACTATGACCAACTCAAAACACGTCTTAGATCCAACCTCCCGAACACGAGATGCCTAAAATCTGTGCTAACATGAAAGACTTTTCATGTATTTTTTTTGCTTTTATCTGAGATTCAAACTCTTCTTCCTGTGTAATATGCAAAATATCTAATAGGTATTATTAAGGTTTTCAGAGCAATTGTGACTAATAAACCATTAGAATTTTTCATGATTGTATTTCTAGTATTACAGCAGAACCAGTTCAAATGATTTAAACTCCCAGGGAAGGATTATGCAATTATTTACAATCTTAGAATTGTACTTTATCAGCAAAAATCACAACATGTAAATTCTGGATTTTTGTAGATTTATCTAGAATTTGTCTCATGTCCCAAGATTCCAGAGTTCCAACTCATGGTTTGCTCTCTCTCTGTCTCTCTGCCTCCCTCATTTTAAATTTTACAGAAATATCCAGTAACATAATGCTATAGAAAATCAATTTCCCCAGCACTTTGGAAGCCGAAGTGAGTGATCAACCGAGGTCAGGAGTTTGAGACCAGCCTGGCCAATATAGTGAAACCATGTCTCTGCTAAAAATACAAAAATTAGCCATGCCTGGTAGCAGGCACTTGTAATGCCAGCTATTCAAGAGGCTGAGCCACGGAATCCCTTGAACCTGGGAGGCGGAAGTTGCAGTGAGCCGAGATCGTGCCACTGCACTCCAGCCTGGGCAACAGAGCGAGACTCTGCCTCAAGAAAAATAAAAAAAGCATAGCAAATAGCCTATAATAAATAACTAGAGGACTCCAGCTACCAAATTTTAGGGGTTGTATAAGGCTGCATAAAATGCAGCATTCTCAAGAGAGTGGACAGAGAGAGAGCCACTGAGCAGAAAACAGTGTCTAAAATACATCCGTGTACACACAGTCCCTTTATAGTTGACAAAGGCTGCCATGTGGTTTAAGGTGGAATAGAATGTCTTCTCAATAAATAACATGGGCCCAAGGGTTACACATGGAGAAAAATATATCTAAAAGTATTCTCACACTATAAAACACTTGTTTATTTTATCTTGTTATTGTAATTTTTTTATGTTTTATATTTAAAATTGAGAAATAAAAATTATATACAGTCATCCCTCACTATTCGTGGGTGATTGGTTTCAGGATCTCCACTCAGATAGCACAATCTGCAGATGCTCAAGCCTCTTACATGAAATGGCACAGCATTTGCAAATAACCCATGCACATCCTCCTGTGTACATGAAATCATCCCTTGATTATTTATAATTCCTGATACAGCCTACACACAGCTTCATTTGTGTCCATTCAACATAGTTTTGCTTTTTGAAACTTTGTGGATTTTTTCTCTGAATATTTTTGATTTATATTTGGTTCAATAAACACCTGTAAATCCCACAGATACAGAGGACCGACTGTATATTTATAGTATGAAAGATGATGTGTTGATATGTGTCCCCGTGGAGATGAGACTGACAAGGCCTATGACTCTACAAATGTTTCATCATGGAATGACTCTGCCAGCTTTCCAGGTCTGCAGAGAGTAAGAATATCACTTGTTCATGTGATTCACGATCCTTGGAACCTCTTATGTGCTGCATCTTTGGATGGAAATTGGAGTCTCAGAGACAAATCAGGCTCCACCCTGCTTCCAGAAGCTCAGAGTCCAGGGGTGAGAACCCAGTGGAGAACAGTTGGAGTTATTTGGACATGGTAATGATAACACTGGAAACTTTCAGCCAAAAAAAGAGTCACCTAAAGAATGAAGGCAGACATGTTTATTTGAAGAGGAGAGAACTACACTGAAATCAAAAAAATTTTATAAGGTTTGCTGATGCCAGAAGGCTGAAAAATAGTCTGAGGAAAGGTGGAACAGCACGAGGGAAGGTGGAACAGCACGTGTCTAAGTGCCGTGTTAATAGAGAGCCTCTTGTATGTTTGGAATTGTGAGTTCCTCAGTGTGATTGCAGCCTCAAGTAGACTAGGAAGTAAGCCAGTTAGGTTGGAGAGGTGGGCAGGGGTCAAGTGAAATAGAGAATTGTGGGCTAAGCAAAGGAGTGTGTTTTCTCTGCAGCAGGCAGTGGGGACCTTAGACATTGGTAAGCAAGAGACAGGCACCAGATTTGTGGTGTGAGGAAGAGTGATGCTCTAAGATGGAGACTCACGCCTTCAGATTCCAGCTGCTGGTACATTAGAGCTGGCAAGCTGGGTTTGAGACAGGGCTGTTGTCTCCCTAGAAGATCCCATCAAGGCCTGACTGTGGTGCTCATGGGCAGGAGATAACGCTCTGGGCTCAGCATTTGGAAGTTCTATACACACGCTGGTATCTGTTGAGGGTCTCTTGCTCCTCTGAGAAGGGCCAGTGATTTTTCTCTGTGTGAAAATGCAGTGATCCAACTGTGCGTATGTCACCTCCTGAGGGTCTTGTTCATCAGAGTCCTGGAGAGAGGGAAATCCTGAGTGAGGGAGGGTGTTCACATTTTTCAGGACTATTAGGGAATAAGACTGTATCCATGAGGCTGGGCTAGGAGGACCTACCTCCCTGTTCACTGTTCTGTGTCCCGCAGGCTCTTGGTTCATTACAGCAGCATCTGTAGGAGACGGAAGCAATCAAAACAGCTGGGAGGGCACTTCTGGGTCCTCATTTCATGAACAGATACCAACACACAGGGGGAGGCCATAGGTGCCTGAGGTCCCTCAGCTGCCAACAGCCAGACTCAGACATTCCATCTCTCTGAGTGCAAGACCCCATTCCATGAATAGCTGTCAGTTCCCATCCCATTGATTCTATCTCCCACTTTCTGCCTGTCATGGAATCTTCTCCTGGATGTGAGTGGCTGCAGGGGACGTGAGGATACAGTTCACAATCAGGCAATGGTCTGTGAGCTGAAGGCAGGGGCAGGGTGTCTGGTGCTCTCTCTAGAAAGCTCTGCCTCTGGCTCCTGCCTTGGGCCAGAGACTTTCCTGCCAGTGAGGAACACACACCTGCGTGCTCCCATCCTGCTTCCGCACAGGGCCCTGAGTTCTCTGGCCTCTGCTTCGTGAGGCTTACTTTTTTTTTTGGAGCACCAGCGATGAAGGAGAAAGAAGGGAAGGATGGTGAAGAGGATGATGGCCACTGAGTACCTAATCACAGCATGCAGGTGTCTGGCGATACCTGGAGGAAGATGAGAATCCAATAAGAAGCTAACCATAGCAGTTCCTCTTTGTGGATTGTCTCTCATTTCTTGGTTGCCAGGCAACCACATAAAACACCTCTTTAGGACAAGCACCCACGAGGCGGGAGACCCAGCTTTCTCCTGCTTTCTCCGTTATAGTTTTCATAATAACAATAGAATGTGCTGATGATACAACTGCTATTGTTTCAATGTTTGACCCCTCCAAACCCCACTTTGAAATTTAATCCCCAGTGTGGGAGGTTGTGCCTATTGGGAGGGGTGTTTTGGTCATGGGGGTGGATCCATCATGAATAGATTAATGCTGTCCCCAGAGGACGGGTTTAGCAAGTTCTCCCTCTATTAGTACCCTGGAGAGTTGATTCTTAAAAAGAGCTTGGAAGCTCCATCACACCCCCTTTCTCCCTCTCTTGCCATGTGATCTCTGTGGTCTCTGCACACGCAGGACCCCCTTCTCTTCTGTCAGTGTGGGAGCAGCCTGAGGCCGCAGCCAGAAATAGATGGTAGTGTCCTGCTTCTAGTACAGCGTGCCGATCAGTGAGCCAAACACATCTCTTTTCTTTAGAAGATACCCAGGCTCAAGTGTTCTTTTATAGCAACAAAAATAGGCTAAGACAGCAACATCCTGAGATCAGGAGGAACGTCTCAGAACAGCCTGGGCTGTCTTCCTGTTCTTCCTGGAGGAGAACATCATGCAGTGCTTTAGCTGAGTGTTCCCTGTGGCTCCAGGGTACAAAACCCAGGCTGGGCTGCTTTCTGGCTTCCCCCAGCTACAGTGCACATGAAGTGACTCCATGTGTCCTGAGCAGTTTTTCTGAGCCTTGAGGGACTGGCTCACCCTGAAAGGAAGGTTTCTGTTGTCACTCGCTGCTTATCTATAAGTAATGAACCTGCCTATGTAATGTATTCCCTGTGTGTTCTGTCTCCCTGGAGTGATGGTGAGTGATAGAAATTGGCACAGGCCCAGGTGCAGTATGGGAGGTGTTTAGAGTCTTCTCTGGGAAGACTGGACTGGGATTGATACACAGTGAATGTGCTTTACAGTTTCTAC
This sequence comes from Homo sapiens, assembly GCF_000001405.40. Lineage (NCBI taxonomy): Eukaryota > Metazoa > Chordata > Mammalia > Primates > Hominidae > Homo > Homo sapiens. The sequence continues at coordinate 57,015 of NT_187643.1, forward strand.
ATCCACAACCCTCTTGACTCAAACAAATTACATTCTCCAAGAAAAGGAAAAAACAGTGACATTGAAATCAACATAAGTGAGGTTGAGCTGTCTTATATCAAACAGCCAGGAAATAATGATGAAGCTCGTGGGCAACATGCTACTTTTGTCATCTTGGGAGTCAGATATTAGGCTGCTGTTCCACCCGAGAGTCTGGGGGAAAGACCACCCCCTCCATCATCTGTTGCTTCAATACAGCCTGTCTTTCTGTGAATTACTCCAAAAGGTGACCAGGAGATAGTGCTGGCACTGGTCTCTGAGTCTACGATCTGAACTCCAAAGAATATTAGTTTTTACCTCCCCATGATCTATCTGTATCATTAATGTGATTGGAAGTAGGGGTGAGGTGGGGGATTTGGGTGAAGGGGCAAGTTTTGTGCCATGAACAGATCACGTTCTCTATTCCAGGACCTGTGCTGGTGGGTTTCACATTTTCCATATGATCTCATGCTCACAGAAAGCCAAATAAGGAAGATGTTTTCGCCTGATTTTCTTATGGATAGGATAAAGGATCAAAGAAGTCATTATAGAGAAATAGAAAAATGATGATTGGAATTGGTGTGCCTTTGTCATTCGTGTATGTTATATTATATTTATGTATTCTTTATTTTTATTTTTTGCCATGGAGTCTCACTCTGTCACCTAGGGTGCAGTGCAATGACGCGATCTTGGCTCACTGTAACCTCTCCCTCCCTGGTTGAAGCCATTCTCCTTCTTCAACTTCCTGAATAGCTGGTATTACAGGCACGCGCCACCACCCCCAGCTAGTTTTTGTATATTTTGTAGAGATGGGGTTTCACCATGTTGTCCAGGCTGATCTCGAACTCCTGATCTCACTTGATCCAGCCTCCTCAGCCTCCCAAAATGTTGGGTTACAGGTGTGAGCCACCGTTCAGAACCTTGTGTGTTATATTATAATAGGTCTCTTCCTTTGCACCACCCCTCATGTATCTCTCACTCCTCTGCCAAGTATTGATTTACATGTAGGAAAAATAAATCTCAGAAAGAAATCAATGAAGTGAAGATTAAACAATTAGGAAAAATCAAACCAGGCAAGCCCTCCCTGCAAATTACTCTACCTCACAAACACATCTTGTGTCCATCTTTCATTCATTTAGTGTCTAAATCAGCACCACATTTCACCAGGGGGGCGGGAATTGCCTTTTCCACAGTCTCCTAGATTCCAGTTATGCACCTGGGCCTCCCTTATTTTCATGTCAGTCACTATTCATCATGTAGGGATTCCCAGTTAGCCCCGAGGTAAGTCCAATGGCTGTGAGTATCAAACACACGCTCCTTGTTCCTCCTTAGTTTCCTGTGTACCCAGAGTGCTCTCTGTCTCTCCACAGTCGTCTTGTCATTCTCCCCATGTCATTCCCAGCATTTCAGGCAGAGCCTCTTCCTTCCACATAACATTGTTTTCACCTTTGTGCCTTCACGGCTGACAGCTGTGTGGAAAATCCTTCCGCCAATCTTCCAGGGGTTGATCTATTTTTTTCATTAAGGTCACAAGTATTATTTGATCAGTGAGAACTTCTCTGTCACCCGAAATTATACACTCAGCATTATCTATTATTTCTTTTAAAATACGGCTCGGCGCCTTGGCTCACGCCTCTAATCTCAGCACTTTGGGAGGCTGAGACGGGCGGATCCCTTAAGGTTGGGAGTTTGAGATAGCCTGGGCAACATGGTAAAACCTTGTCTGTACTAAAAAAAAATACCAAAAAAAAATTAGCCAGGCGTGGTGGGACATGGGTGTAATCCCAGCCTCTCGGGAAGCTGAGTGTAGAGAATCGCTTTAACCTGGGAGGTGGAGGTTGCGGTGAGCCGAGATCCCGCCACTGCACTCCAGCCTGGGGCACAGAGGGAGACACCGTCTCATAAAAACAACCAATCAATCAATCATTCTCATGCACAGATGCTTCCCAATGGATCATTCATTTATTGGTCCACTGGTGTATTCATTTTCTGCCCTCCCATTTAATCCTTTGCAATATCAGTGTCCAAGAGCAGAGGCCAAATGCACCTTGTTTACCATTTGTGGAAAGGATAAGAATGCCGCCCCACCCCAAAATGTTCCTGTCCTAGTCGCCATATCTTGTGAATATGTTATTTTACATGGAAAAAAGGAATGCAGATTGCAGATGGAATTACGGTTGCTAATCAGCTAACCTTAAAAGGAGGGTATCCTAGATGATTTTAGGGAAATTATGATGGATTATCTTGGTGTTTCCAATAGAATGCCAAAGTCCTTAAAAGATGAGGAAGAAGGCAGAGCAGCATTCAGAGAAAGAGGTGTGGACAAGGAAGAAGGGTCTGAGTGATGCCGTGTGAGAGGCGTGACCAGCCTTTGTGGACTTTGAGGGAGGAAGACGGGGACCAGGAGCCAAGGAATGTGGGAGCCTCTAGGAGCTGGGAAAAGTGAGGAAGCAGATTCTTGCCTGGAACATTCAGAGGGAAGGCAGCCTTGCTGTCACCTTGATTTTAGCCCAGTGAGATGATGCATTTCATACTTCTGAGCTACAGCACCATGAGATATTTTTTAAAAATGTGGTTTCCATCCACGAAGCTTGTGGAAATTTGTTATGGCAACATAGGAAAAAGTTCCACACTGCACAGTCTGAGCATGGGGCAGTGGCTGAACGAGTAAGTGGAAGTGTCATGTGCACGGATGAACTACGTTCTCTCTTACCGCAAAGCTCTTGTTCCACTAAGTCAACCAGGGTTGGATCATGACAGACAGGAGCTCATTCCTTGGCAAGTAGAACTTCTCTACAAACACACCACCCTCAAAAATGTTCCCCTTCCTTCCCCTTCTCAAGCCCCCAGGCATTTGTCCTCCCAGTTAGGAATGCAGGCAGAACAAACACAGCATTTTTCCTGAGAAGAATGTCTGATTTGCACTCATCCTTCTACCCTGAGGTCTCAGCAGCAGAAAATTAGAGATTAAGAGATTTCACTGAGCCCTGTGCTGGGCCCAGATCCCTTTCGCTGTTGGAGTGTCTGGGGTTCAGAGACAATGGAAGACAGGCCCACAATCACAGAGCTGGCAGGTGCTGAGCCAACGCTTGAATCCAAGGCTTCTACCTCCCCAGGTTTCCAAAAGCAGAGATAAGAGGGGTCCTTCACTTACCAGTTTTGAAGCTTGGTTCAGTGGGTGAAGGCCAACTACTAGAAGGGTTTCCTAGAACATGGGACAGGAGAGAGGTGTGGCAATGAGGATGCCTGTCTTTTCTACTCAATGGAAATCTTTGAGGTTGGTTCATGGCCAACCTTCTATTATCTAATGTTGGGCCCTGGGAGTCCTGGCATCCCATTCTCCATAATCATTGTAGGTGACACCAACTATCTTGAGACTTCAAGGTATAAGGAGAAAACAGGAGCATCACACTACCTGACTTAAAAATATGTTACAGAGCTGTAGTAAGCAAAACAACATGACATTGGCATAAAGAAAAGCACATAAAACAATGAAGCAGAATGAAGAACACGGATGTAATCCACCCATTTACATCCAATGGACTTTGACAAAGGTTCGAAGAATCTACAATCTGGAAAGGACAGTCATTTCAATAAATGGTGCAGGGAAAACTGGATATCTACATGCAGAGGGATGAAACTGCATCTCTACCTCTCACCATACACAAAAATCAGATGAAAATGGATTAATGACTTAAGACCTGAATCCATTAAATGTCTAAAAGGAAACACTGGAGAAATGCTCCAGGACATTTGTCTGAGGGAAGACATTTTGTTTAAAACCTCAAAAACACAAGTAATCACAACAACAACAAAAAAAATAGACCATTGGGATTATATCAAATCAAGCAGCTTCTGCACCGCAAAGGAAGCAACCAATGAAGTGAAGAAGAGAAAACCCACAGAATGGGAGCAAATATTTGCAAACTATGCATCTGAGATGGGATTAATAACTAGAATATAAAAGAAGCTCAAACACCTCAATAAAACTAATAATTTAATTATAAAATTAGTAAAAGACCTGAACAGACATTTCTCAATGAACAAAACATACAAATGAACATATATACATTGCATATATGAAAAAGTGCTCAGTATCACTAATCATCAGAGAAATGCAAATGAAGTCACAATGAGCTATCATCTCACCCCATTACAATGGGTTTTATCTCAGAGACAGACAAAACAAATGTTGGCAAGGTGGTGGAGAAAGGAGAACCCTGATACACTGTTGATAGGAATGTAAATTAATACAGCCATTACAGAGGAGAAGAATATGGAAGTTCCTTAAAAACTGAAAAGAGATTAGGCACTGTGGCTCACGCTTGTAATCCCAGCACCTTGGGAGGCTGAAGTGGGCAGATCACTGGAGGTCAAGAGTTCGAGACCAGCCTGGCTAACATGGTGAAACCCCGTCTCTACTAAAAATACAAAAATCAGCCAGGCTTGGTGGCGGGCACCAGTAATCCCAACTACTCGGGAGGCTGAGGCTGGAGAATCACTTGAATCCTGGAGGTAGAGGTTGCAGTGAGCCCAGGTGGTGCCATTGCACTCCAGCTTGGGCAACAAGAGTGAAACGCTATGTCAAAAAAACAAAAAGCATAAAACAAAACCTAAAAAGAGAACATCCAGAGGATCTAGCAATTCCACTAGTGGGTGTAAATGCAAAGAAAAGGACTTCAGTGTATTGAAGTGACATCTGCACTCCCATGACTGTTCCAGCACTGTTCACAGTAGCCAAGATGTGGAGTCAACCTACCTGCCCATCAGTGGATGAATGGATAGAGAGAATGTAGTACATACACACAATGGAGACAACTCATCCATAGAAAGAGTAACGTCCTGTCATTTGCAGCCACATGGATGGACTAGAGGTCATTACAAGGATTGCCATTTCTTACTCACATGCAGGATGTAAAAGGTGGACCTCATGAAGGTAGAGAGTAGAATGGTGGATACCAGAGGTTAGGAAGGAAGGGGTGGAGGGTAACAAAAGAAGAATATAAAAGTATTTATTTATTTATTTATTTAGAGACAGAGTCTCTCTGTGTCACCAGGCTGCAGTGCAGTGGCATGATCTCAGCTCACTGCAACCTCCTCCTCCTGGGTTTAAGCCACTCTCCCGCCTCAGCCTCCCAAGTTGCTGGGATTATAGGCGCCTGGCACCATGCCTGGCTAATTTTATTTTTTTTGTCTTTTTAGTAAAGATTGGTTCCCCCATGTTGGCCGGGCTGGTCTCCAGCCCCTGATTTTAAATGATCCACCTGCCTTGGCGTCTCAAAATGCTGAGATTACAGGCGTGAGCCACCGCACACAGCATATAAAGGTATTTATGATCCCTAGATTTTACACTTAAAAATGGTAAAGTTGATAAATTATATAGGTATATTTAACCTCAATCAGCATTTTTTCAAAGGAAAAGAAAAAGTGTAGGGGTTGCTGGTGATGACATCTCTGTGTAGGTGAGAGGCCAGGGTGGGCTTCTGGGAAATGGGTAAGGTTGAGGGGCTGAGGGAACCTCTGATCTCCCCAAACTGAGCCCAGTCTCCCTCCTCTGGGTCTGTCCTGACCACTTTCTCCATCTGCCTGGGTACCCGGAGCCCTTACTGCAAGCTTCCATGCAGGCCATGCAGGAGGGTTTGGAGGTGCCCTGTCTGCCATCCTGTGCCCTGATCCCACCCTCACACCATGCTGCATCTTCTCTCCACATCTGTCCATGCTTCTCTCCATCATCAGCAGGAAGCTCCTCAGCTAAGGCTCTAGGACCATAGGACATGGGACAGACATTGGCTTTCCTCACCTGTGACAGAAACAGGCAGTGGGTCACTCGCGTCTGACCACTCGTAGGGAGATCCATGGAAAGAGCCGAAGCATCTGTAGGTCTCTCCGTGGGTGGCAGGACCCAGAGGGAAGTCGGCCTGGAATGTTCCATTGATGCTGGGCACTGCAGGGAGCCTAAGTTCATGGGCTTCCCCCTCCCTGGATAGATGGTAGATGTCAAAGGAGCTCTGGGAGCTGCAGGACAAGGTCACGTTCTCTCCTGTGCGAACCGTGGGGCCCGGCCGGGCTGTAAGCGAAGGTTTCTCATATAGACCTGGAAGGAGAAGAGGCAGTTTCCTCAGGGAGGTTCTTCCTTGTCACAGCTCCCCTCCCACCTGAGCTGAGAACTCACTGCCCTGCTCTATGGCCTAGTGCTCTCTCTCTCTCTCTCACCCTCCACCCCCAACTCTTCCTGTCGATCCCTCCCTATGTGGTTCCAGCCTGGTGGTGGCATCAGCAGTGCACCCTTGCTGATCTCAGGGTAGCCAACCTTCTTGTTTGGTTTTTTAACTTGTCCTTCACCTGGGTTCCTGTGTTGGTTTCCTGTTGTTGCTGGAGAAAATTATCACAAACATGGCGACAGGAGAGAACACACTGACCCCTTCCACTTCTGGAGACAGAAATCAGACCCTGTTCTTCCTGGGCTACAATCAATGCATCTGCAGGGCTGCATTCCCTCTGGAGACTCGGGAGAATCAGTTCCATTGATTTCTCCAGCCCCTTCGTGGCTCGTGGTCTTCCTCCACCTTCAAAGCCCACAGTGGCTGGTGGAGTATCCCACGATGCTGCTCTAATCCCCATTCTCCTCTTCCTTCTCCACTCATATGGACCCTTGTGATTACACTGAGCCCAGTGGGAGAGTCCAGGCCATCTCCCCATCTCAAGGTCAACTCATCAACAACCTGAGCTCCATCTTCCCCTTCAGTCCCCTGCCCTATAACATAGTCACAGGCTCCAAGGATTACAATGTGGCCATCGATGGGGACAGTTATTCTTTCCAACACAGCACCCATTCCCCTGTATTCAATCCCCCTTTACCCCAAATATAGTTGGGGCCTGGATGATCGGACTCTGGTGGACACCCCCACCAGAAGCTCTGGGACTCAGGAGGTGGGACAAGGAGAAGCCCAGACAGGAGCCCTCTGACCTGTGACCATGATCACCAGGGGGTTGCTGGGTGCCGACCACTCAGTGGGGGAGTGCGGGTGAAAACCTCGACATCTGTAGGTCCCTGCGTGTGCTGGGGTCACAGGGCTAATGAGGAAACTGTTCCAGAATATTCTGTTGTAGAGCTCAGGGACAGGGACCCCATCTTTCTTGTACAGCGTGAAGATGTTAAACCCACGACGATAGTGACACCGAAGAGTCACGTGTCCTCCTTGAGGCACCACAGCGCTGGGCCAGGCAGAGCAGAAGGGCTTGTCCTGACCACCTTGGGGAGAAGGAGATGCCGCCTCAGAGAGGAGTATGTTGAGCTGCCCCTCCCTCCCTGTGCTCAGAAGATTCTCCCCATTTCTTCTTTCTAAGGCTCCTACCACACCTGGGTGCCTGGGGCTACAGGAAGGACCCATCCCGCATAGACGTGGCGTCTCCCTACAACAAAAGTGTCAGTTGAGAACTGAGCAGGTGCTGAGTAAGGGACTCTTACTAGATTTTAATACTGCAAGATTAGTTACACCAAACAACACAAAGTAGACATGGGGTGGAGGGTATGACCTTTGTGAATGGAATATTAGCTAATGCCTGAACCACAATAAACAACTGAGCTCCATCAGAGGATTTGGAATGGCAGGGTCGTGGCTGTGGTTCCCCCACCTCTTCTGGCAGAATGACAGCAGCCACACTGCAGCCCCTACCGTCATGGAAACGCTGGAGGGTGTGAGTTACCCTCTTGTCCTCAGAGGACCTGCTGTTCCTAACACTGCTACCCTTCCCTCCTCTGTCGGTGACACCACATCCCCCCACACACCCCAGCTTTGAGCACCTCAGTATCCCGCCTGGGCCACACAGAGCTCAACTCAGCCATGGGGAAGAAAGGCTGGGGAGGGCTAAGACAAAACAGAGGGCTGAGCATACCAGGATCTCCTCTTACTAGTTCATGAGAGACTCCCAGGATCTCCTCTTACTAGTTCATGAGAGACTCCCAGGATCTCCTCTTACTAGTTCATGAGAGACTCCCAGGATCTCCTCTTACTAGTTCATGAGAGACTCCCCCCAGGCCTTCCCATGGTCAGCCCATCAGCCCACCCTCTGTGCTGCCTCCCTCCCATTTCCGGAAAATTCACTTGTATTGGGGTGAAGATGGCAACCCATCATTTGGGGAAGGACTCACCCACGTGTGCCCACACACTCTGGTCCAAGAAGAACCCTGCAAAGAAAGATCATGATGAACTATTCATCTCGGCACCAACCTACCCTTTCCTCCTGAGCCACTGGGCGCCACGCTGGACTGAAAATTAACTCATCCTCACCACTCACTTGCTTCAGAACATGGCTCTCTGCTGGGGAGACACCCAATCTGCAGGCCCATAGTGTAACCCTGGTGCTCCTTCCCTTCCAGGACTCACCAAGACATGCCAGGATGATGACCGTGGGTGACATGGACATGGTGCAGCTTCTGCTGCCAGGACGCAGTGACTCGGCTCGACTGACCGGTGCAGAGGATGTGGTGAGGGGCCCGGATCGTGCAGTTGACACATTGACCACAACATGTGAAGGGGACATAGGTAGGCTTCTTCTACGTCATATGAGGTTCAAGTGGTGAGTCAGTCAAGGGAGGAATGAGGGTTTCTGAAAACTGCAGACTAGACTTGTCAGTTCACATCATGCGCAACGGCCAGGCTCAAAACACATCTCAGACTCACTTACCCCTGCACGGGACGATTGAATTCTGCACTCACATGAGGAACTTTTGATGTATTTTTTTTTGTTTCTACCTGAGATTCAAACTCTCCTTGATATGTAATATGCAAAATACCTAATAGGTTTTATTAACACTATAGAGCAATCGTATTAAATAAATCATCATAATTTTCCATGGTTGTATTTTTCCTGTTAAGCCAGAAACAGATAAAATGATTTAAATCCCAGTAGAAAAGACTATATAGTTATTTCGCATCATAGAATTCCACCTTATTAGCAAAAACACAATATGTCAATTGAAGGTCTGGTCGTGTTATCTAGAATTTGTCTTATGACACAAGAGTCCAAATTCACAGTTCCCTGTCTCCCTTTTTGTCTCTCTGTAACGTGTGCTTTTTTTCTCCCTGTGTTGTTTGTGTGTCTTTCTTTCTCTCTCTCATTTGAGGAAAAAATATCAGACTGATAACATCCTCCAACTTGATACTGGAATATTGCAATAACTGAAGGTTGAAATCTACACATTTAATGTGCTGTCATTCTTACAAATGTCTCTTATTTACACCTACCTTTCTGGAGTTTGTAAGAACTTTTTCACTATGCATTTTAAATTTGTAAAACTCATAATTTTTAAAAAGGGATGGGTCTCACTGTTTGCCCAGGGTGGCCTTTACTCATTCTATAAGGCTGGCATCACCCTGATACTAAAGACAGAAAAGAATATTAAACAAAAGAAAACTACATGCCAATATTCCTGATGAGCATAGATGCAAAAATCCACAAAAAATACTAAGAACTGAATCCCGCAGCATATCAAAAAGTGAATCCACCATGATCAAGTCAACTTTATTCTTAGGGTGCAAGGTTGGTTGAACATACACAATCAATACATGTGATTCATCACCTAAACAAAACTAAAAACAAAAACCACATGATCTTCTCAACACACATGTAGAACATACTTTTTACTAAGCATTTCTTCATGTTAAAAGCCCTCAACAAGCTAAGCATTGAAGAAACATAACTCAATATAATAAGAGCCGCCTATGACAAACCCACAACCAACATCATACTGAATGAGTAAAAGCTGGAAGAAGTTCCCTTCATAAGTGAAACAAGACAAGAATGCCCACTCTCACCATCCTATTCAACATAGTACTTGAAGTCCTAGACAGAGCCATCAGGAAAGAGAAAGAATTATAAGGCATCCAAGTAAGAAGAGAGTAGCAGAGAGAGGTAGTCAAATTACCTCTGTTTGAAGATGAGATAATTTCTATACCTAGAAACCCCATAGTCTCTGCCCAAAGGCTCCTACATCTGAGAAACAAACTTCAGCACAGTTTAAGGGCAGAAAGTCAATGTACAGGCTGGGTGTGGTGTCTCAGCCTGAAATCTAGCACTTTGGGAGGGCGAAGCGGGTGGATCACCTGAGGTCTGGAGTTCGAGACCAGCCTGGCCAACATGGCGAAACCCTGTCTCTACTAGAAACACAAATATAGCCGGACGGGGTGGTACGCAACTGTAGTCCCAGCTGCTTGGGAGGCTGAGTCAGGAGAACCGCTTGAACCTGGGAGGCAGAGGTTGCAGTGAGCGGAGATCACGCCATTGCACCTCAGCTTGGGCAACAACAGTGAAACTGCGTCTCAAAAAAAAAGCCAAAACAAATTTAATTAATGAGGAAAAGGGTATTTGTGGTGTCCATCATGATGTTTTCATATAGGTACACATTGTGGAATGGATGAAACAACCTCTTTATCTATTTATTTTTTCACATACTTGTATGTTTTGTGTGTGTGGTGAGAACATGTAAAATCTAATCTCTTAGTAATGTTCAATACACCATATGTTGCTATTAAATGGAGTCACCAAGACATACAATAGATCTCTTGAACCGATTTCTTCTAACTGAAATTTTGCATCCTTTGACCAACATCTCTTCAATCTCTCTCCTTCCCAGGTTCTTTCGACGACCATTTTACTGTTCCTCTAGGTTCCACTTCTTACACTCCACACATGAGATCATGTGGCATTTGTCTTTCTGTGCCTGGATTGTTTCCCTTAACATAATGTCCTCTAAGTTTTTTCACATTGTCACAAATGAGAGGACTTCCTTCTTTGTTGTAAAGGTTGTATAGTACTTCATTACGTTCCTATCGTATACCACGTTTTCTTTGTCCATGCACCCATAGATGGGCAGTAAGGGTGATTCCACATCTTGGCTGTTATGAATAATGCGGCTGTAAACATGGGAATGCAGATATCTCTTCAACATACTGATTCCACTTCCTTTGGATACATGCGCAGTAGTTGGATTGCAGACACATATGGGAATTCTATGTTTAATTTTTTCAGGAACTTCCAGACTGTTTTCCATAATGGTTGTGCTAATTTACATTCCCATCAACTGCATACAAATGTTCCCTTTTCTCCACATCCTCGTTAATGCTTGTTATTTTTTATGTTTTTGATAATGGTCTTTTTTTTTTTTTTTTTGAGACTCAGTCTTGCTCTGTCACCCAGGCTGGAGTGCAGTGGCACAATCTCGGTGTACTGCAACCTCTGCCTCCTGGGTTCAAGCGATTCCCCTGCCTCAGTCTCCAGAGTAGCTGGGACTACAAGTGTGCGCCACCAAACTCTGCTAATTTTTGTATTTTTAGTAGGGATGGGATTTCACCATATTGGCCAGGCTGGTTTCGAACTGCTGACCTCAGGTAATCTCCCTGCCTCGGCCTCCCAAAGTGCCTGAATTACAGGCATGAGCCACCATGCCCAGACTGTTAATGGTCATTCTAAGAGGTGTGAGGTGATATCTCATTCTAGTTTTAATTTTTATTTAGCTGATGTTTAGTAATGCTAATCATTTTTTCATATACCTTTTGGTGATTTGTCTTATTCTTAGAAATGTTTATTCAGATACTTTGCCCATTTTTTTAAGTTGGGTTATTTGATTTCTTACCATTGAGTTGTTTGAGTTTCTTATATATTTTGGATATTAATTCCTTATTAGATGTATGGGTGCAAATATATTCTCCCATTCCATAGGTTGTCTTTCCACTTGTTGAGTTTTTTTTTTTCTTTGCAGAAACTTTCAATTTGATATAATGTTATTTGTCTACTTTTGCTTTTGTTGCCTGGGCCTTTGGGTTAATATCCAAAATGGTTTTGCCCAAGCCAGTGGAGTTTTCCCTTGATTTCTTTTAGTAGTTTTTTTTTTTTTTAAGATGGAGTCTCACTCTGTTGCCCCGGCTGGAGTGCAGTGATGCGATCTCGGCTCACTGCAACCTCTACCTCCTGGGTTCAAGTGATTCTCCTGTCTCAACCTCCCGAGTAGCTGAGATTACAGGCACCCACAACCACACCCAGCTGTTTTTGTATTTTTAGTAGAGGCGGGATTTCACCATGTTGGCCATGCTGGTCTTGGAATCCTGACCTTAGGTGATCTGCCCGCCTTGGCCTCCCAAATTGCTGGGATGATAGTCTTTCACCTTACATTTAAGTCATTAATCTATCTTGAGTTGACTTTGTATGTTTTGTGAGGCAAATGTCCACTTCCATTCTTCTGCATGTCTCCCAATCCCATTTATTAAAGAGACTGTTCCTTCTCCATTGTGTGTTCTTGATACATCCCAAAAATTGTTTGACCCTAAATGCGTGCATTTTTTTTCCTGGGCTATGAATCACTTCCATTGGTCTATGTGTCTGTTTTTATGCAAGTACTGTGTTGTTTTAATTACTGTAACTTTGTAATGTAGTTTGTGTTTAGGTAATGTGATGCTTCCAACTTTGTTCCTTTCCCTCTAGATGGCTTTGGTTATTTGAGATCTTTTGTGGTTCCACATGAATTTTAGGACTGTTTTTTCTATTTCTGTAAAAAAAAATGTCATTGGATTTTTGATAATGGTTGCATTGAATCACTTTGGATAGAATGGACATTTTAACAACATTAATCCTTCTGATCCGTGAACATGGAATATCTTTCGATTTATTTGTTTATTTCTTGAGTTTTTTCATCAATGTTTTATAGCTTTTGCATACAGATCTTTCTACTCCTTGGGTGAATTTATTCCTGCATGTTTTGTTTTCTGTAGTTATTGCAAATGGGCTTATTTTCTTGTAAACTTTTTTGGATAGTTTGTTGTTAATGTATAGAAACTTTGTTGTTGTTGTTGTTGTTGTTGTTTTGATGATACCCATCCTAAGGGGTATGAAATGGCATCTGGTGTAGTTTTAGTTAGTATTTCCCTAATGATTCGTGATGCTGAATATCTTGTCATGCGTATGTTCTTTGGAGAAATGTCTGTTTCAGTACTTTGCCCATTTTTGAATTGAGTTTATTGTGATTGAGTTTTAGGAGTTGTCTGTATATTCTGGATGTTAATCCCTTACAGGTGGTGTGGTTTGAAAACATTTTCTCCCATTCTGTGGGTTGTCTTTTTACTTTGATAATATCGTCTTAAAAGTTCTTTTTCCTTGCCATGTGAAGTAACTGATGTTGTCTTTTGAGTCACAATATTTCAAAATTTTCATAAAGTCTAACTTGTTTATTTTTTCTGTAGTAGCCTGTGCCGTTGTTGTCACATCTAAAGAATCACTGCCAAATCCGATGTTGTGAAGTTTTCCTTTGTGTTTTCTTCTAAGACTTTAATTAAATTTTATTTGTCAATATTTAGGACTGACAAAAGCTTTTTAACATTCCTGGCACCATCTCAGTTATTGATCTACTCCCAAGATGGATCATTTCAATTAAAACATGTAAAGCATGACCTCACCTGAATGTGTTTGAACTTGCTCTTCTCCCTTTCAAATCGACTCCCTCACTTACATAGTTTGTGTTCAAATGTCAACAAATAAAACATAAAAAGAAATCAATCTTTTCATAGACCCTTTATCTAAAATAGAATAGTAGGTGCCATGACATTTCATCCTTTCATCTTGAATTATTTACTTTTCTACATGAACCAATCCATTCTTCTGTGTGCATGTGTGTGTGTGTGTGTGTGTAGTTTATCTGTCTACATATAATGTAAACACCAAAAAATAACAGACATTTAGTAATTTTCAAATGAGACTTCAGGAATTAACAATGGCTTGCCATTTTTAGTGTGTTATTATTATTATATTTAGATGAACAGAATTGCCTCAGGAACATGGCCAGGGGCTCATAGTCCAGGAGAACTGTGGCCTGACTCAGGTACATTTTACCTGCAATAACAGCAATTGCAGGTCACTGGAGTCCATCACAATTGGCTGGAGACAAATGTAAGACAAGAATATTTGCAGTTTCCCCAGACTGACACAGTTGCAGGTTCCCCGAAGTAATGAGTCCTGAGACACCTCCAACAAGAGCTAGAAAAGGTATCACTTCAAGAGGAGTTGCAGCCTACTCATTTTAGACAAATGGAGCAAAATTACAGTATCACATCTTTTCCTTTCTCCTTCATAGAATCTGGATGAACAGAACAGAAAGAGTTAATGGAATATAAGATTCCAATTCTCTGGCATGAGAAAATAGACAAGGAAAGGAAGATTCATCTTCATCACATCTCAGACATGCTTGGACACAGGGTCCAAGCACAAAAGAGAAACACATACTTCTTCCCATCCACACTGGGATCCAGGGTCTTCTCCCTCCTGTCAGGCCAGAACTGAGTCTCCACTCCCCAATTTAGTTCCCAGAGATGAAGCCCAATTTTCCTCTGTCTCAAGCTTTGAAGGCCAGCTTTAGCGTGTTCACCATGGATGAATGAAGGTGAGGTCAGAGGTTTGGGAAATGGTCAAGAATGAGGTGAGAAGAGAGCTGTGGAGGCATGGCCCCGGGGAGCTTGGTACCCCCCCATATCCAGAGCCTGTCTGGTCCAGGAGAGTTCCCAACCCTGTGAGCACCAACTCCGGATATTCTGGGCAGTGACCCGAGGGACAGCCTCTTATGAATACAGGCTGTTTTCCTCCAGTGTCTGCTGTGAAACCAGGATGTACAACATGGCCGTGTTCAACCCAACAATGGACTTAGGATTTTGCTGTACGCCAAAACTCAGTGTCCAACTTCCACTCTGTTTAGCTGGAAAAAGAAGGGGTTTGTTCCCATACATCTCACTCCTGTGTTCCTCTTTCAGTCTCAAAGCTCAGATGAAAACAATGAGTGTCACTTATTGTCAATCCTCTTCCCTGCCTTTTCCACACTCATCAGTATTACCGTTTACATTGAGACTAAAGATGGCCAATCACCACTTTTCTTCGGAAAAATCAACCTGATGTTGTACCTACTTTTTTAGAGGTGGAATCAACCTACCCTAAGATGCCAACTACATTTTACTGAATGGACTTTTGTGGATCCCCTCGATGTATATAGTGGCACCTTGAGGTATCATCCCTGTCTTTAGCAAATGAATATTATCCCAAGGACAATATTTCATCACAATTATTCGGGATGGACGAGTGGATATTGTGGTAGCAAGAACATTACTAAAAGTCACAGCTGATACAACACACTTGAAACCCATCTGGCCAATCTCCCACAGACAGAATGTCGCGCCATTCACTCCAGCCAGCTTCAGTCATGTTTCTTCCATTTCCACCTGTGGCCCCTCATGTCTCCACCAGGTCTTAGCCAGCATTGCCAAAAGAGCCAGGAAGACCAGACCAGCCACAACAATCCTGATGGAACTCTCCACAGTATAGTTCTGGAGAACAGGGGCTGGAGGGTGGGGGTAAGATCAGAGACCTTTCCATGTGGGCCAGGCCCCTCTCTCCCCAGAAGCTCTGAAATGGAGCTATTTCCCCATCTCACCTTCATAAAATTCTTCCTGTCCAGAACCCCTCTTCTCCCTATATCATCATGAGCACCTTCAGAAGTCTTTTGCCACAAAAAGAAATTTCTTTTGAAGATATACATTTTTTTGTACATTTCAAAAATGTTCCCAAACTAATTCTCCAAAGCAATAAATGTTTGTGTGTATTGCTGGGTAGGTTATGCATACAAGGAAAGGAAGCATAGTGAGTCTGATTTGGCAGAGGAAACATATGTGGAAATTATATCATTTACTCTCTTTACAAAATTAAGTACAAAATTGAAAACACTGGTAAGAAAGAATGAGCTATAGAGAAAGAAAACATCTGAGATGCTTGTTTCCAAGATGGCTGACTAAATGCTTTTCTGGCATGTCTCATCCACTTAGAAGAACGAGCAGAATCCAGAACAAAAACCATATGATCATCTCAATAGACATAAAGAAAAGCATCTGAAAAGAAATTCAACATCCTTACCTGATGAAAACCCTCAAAAACTTAGGCATAGAAAGAACATACCTCAAAATAATAAAAGCCATAGATGACATATCTAGAGTCAACATCATACTGAACAGGAAAAGTTAAAAGCACTCCTCTGAGAACTGGCACAAGACAAGGACACGGACATCCACCACTTCCTATCAACATAGTACTGGAAGCCTTGTCAGAGCTATTGGGCAACAGGAAGAATTAAAAATCCAAATTAGAAAAGAGGAAGTAAAATTATTTTTATTTCTGATGCTATGATCTTAAATCTAGAAAATCCTAAAGACCCTGCCAAAAATTCTTATGATTGATAAATGAACTAAGTAAAGTTTCAGAATACAAAATCAATATGTAAAAGCCAGTAGCATTTCTCTACACCTATAATGATCTAGCTGAGAACCAAATCAAGAAGGCAATGCCGTTTACAATAGATACGCAAAATTAAAACACTCAGGAATACATTTAACCAAGGTGGTGAAAGAGCTGTACCAGGAAAGGTGTAAGACACCAATGAAAGCAATTATAGATAATACAAAAAAAAAAAAAGAAAAAAAATCCCACGCTCATGGATCATAAGAATTAATATTGTTAAAATGACCATACTGCCTAAAGCAATCTACAGATTCAGTGCAATTCTTATATGAAAATAGTAACACCAGCTTTCACAGAATTAGAAAAAGCAATCCTAAAATTCATACAGAACCAAAAAAGATCCTAATAGAGAAAGCAATTCTAGGTGAATGTAGAAACCTGGAGGCATCACGCTATCTGACTTCAAACTATGCTCTAAGGCTATAGTAACTTAAATAGCACAGTGCTGGTATAGACACAGAAACAGAGATCAATAGACCAGAATAGAGAGCCCAGAAATACAGCCTCATATCTACAGTGAATAATCATTGACGACGTTAACAAAACATACACTGGAGAAAGATTTCCTTTTCAATAAAAGGTGCTGGGAAAACTAAATAGCCATATGCAGAAGAATAAAACTGGACCTGTATCTGTAATCATACACATAAATTAACTTAAGGTAATTAGCAGCTTAAATGTAAATCCAGAACTATAAAATCACCGGTGGAAACCCAAAGAGAAACTCTTCTGGGCATTGGTCTGGGCAAAGAATTCATCACTAAGACCTCAAAAGCACAGGCAATAAAAATAAAACTAGACCAATGGGACTTAATAAACGAAAGAGCTTCTGCCAAGCAAAGGAAATAGTAGCAGGGTGAACAGACAACCCACAGAATGAATGGAAATGTTTGCAAACTATGCACCCAACAGAGGACTAACATCCAGAATTTCTAGGCAACTCAAACAACTAAACATAACCCCTCAAATAATAGCATTAAAAAGTGGGCAAAGGGATATACATAGACATTTTTCAAAAGAAGACATACGAATGGCCAAACAGCGTATGAACATCACTAATCATCAGAGAAATGCAAATTGAAACCACAATGAGATATCATCTTACAGTAGTCAGAATGGCTATTACTAAAAATGCTGGTGGGGAGTGGTGGCTCACGCTTGTAATCCCAGCACTTTGGGAAGCTGAGGCGGGTGGATCATGAGGTCAGGAGTTTGAGACCAGCCTGACCAACATAGTGAAACCCCATCTCTACTAAATATACAAAAGATTAGCTGGGCATGGTGGTGTGGTTCTGTAATCCCAGCTACTCAGGAGGCTGAGGCAGGAGAATCATTTGAACCTGGTTGGTGGAGGTTGCAGCGCGTGGAGATGGCGGCACTGCACTCCAGCCTGGGTGACAGTGGAAGACTCCATCTCAAAAAGAAAAAAAGAAAAAGTGAAACATATAACAGGTGTTGGCAAGGATGCAGAGAAAAGGAAACTCTTATACACTGTTGGCCGGTATGTAAATTAGTATAGCCTCTATGGAAGACAGTATGGAAATTTGGCAGAGAACCAAAAATAGAAGCACCATTCGATCTAGGGGTCCCGCTGCTGGGTATCTACTCAAAAAATACCTGCACCTGTATGTTTATTGCAGCACTGTTTGCAATAGCAAAGATATGAAATCAATCTAAGTGTCTGTGAATGAATGATTGGATTAAAAAAAGGATGCGTGTATACACAACGAAATACTATTTGGTCATAAAAATAAAACCATGTCTTTTGCAGCAACATAGATGGAGCTGGACGCCATTATTTTACATAAAACCACTCAGAAAGACAAATACCACATCTTCTCACTCTACATGGGAGGGGAGTAATGTGTACATATGGACGTAGAGTGTGGAATGACGGACAGCGGAGGCTAGAAGGCTGGAGGGTGGCGGGACGTGGGTGAGTGATGAGAATTTGCTTAATGAGTACAATGTACGGTATTTGGGTGATGGATATAGTAAAAGTCCTGACTTCACTACTCTGCAACATACTCATGTCACAAAATTACAAGTGTACCTCATAAATTTATACTAATAGAAAAGAAAGTCTGTACACAGTAATCAATTGTGATATGTAGATAAAGTCAATATTAAATTTAAACCAGAATAACTAGTTAAAATGTTGTGTACACAACAGTGAAGAGAGTATTTATCCTCTATGACAGAGGAAACCATCAATATTAATGCACAGAAAAAGCAAATAACTGAAACAAGAAAGAGCAGTTTTGTGACAGGGTAAAAATTGACAACAGTTTTAGAATGCTCCTAACTTGAGTTCCAAAAAGAAAGAACGAGAAAACAGGTCAGAAGCAATCTTTAAAGAGGCAATTGTTGATTATTTGGAGGAAGTAGACACATCCATCAATCCACAGGTTCAAGAAATCCAGTGAATGCCAGGCAGAATGAAGTAAACACACCTCACGTTCAACATTACAGAAAAGCAGCATAAAAGCACAACCAACCCTTAAAATTAGCCAGAGGAAAAGGATCAGCTGGTAAGGATTTATAGGGAGCCAAGCATTGTCTTCCCCACAGAAAAAAGGAAAACATAAGCCAGTAGAATAGCATCTTTACCCAGCTAAGATACCGTCGCCAGCCACCGACAATTCCTTACATAGTACAGTTACTGTCCAAGATCAACGCAGGAAAGAAACAGAACTGAAAGACAAAAGGGCAAAGAAAGCTTTTCTCACTGACCCTAAAGGAAATTCTGATGACCGTGCCTCAAAGATAAAGAAAGTGAAACCAGATGGGGTGTCGAAGATTCTGACAATAACTAAGAGCAGAGGAAGAACTAAAAATATGGCTATGCCAAAAATGAATATGGACCATACGATAGTGTATGAAAACACGCCCCTGTGTAATTTCTGAAAAAGATAGAATTATGTATACCACAAAACAAAACATCATATAAGTAAATACAAACATATGTACTAAATATGCTCTAAAATCCTGTTCTTACACAGGAAGAGTGGAAATATGTTTTTATATTTGCAGTTTAATCTCTGAAATGATTAATTTCAATTTTAAAAATATGTAACAACTTCAGGATGAGTACACCATATATGTATTCCTAAACGACATAGATCAAAAATAGAATGTTTGAAATAGAAAACCACAGAAGTCAGTGGGAAAAAAAGGGAATCAGGAAAACACAACGTAATAATAACAAAAATATGATTGGAAGAACTGCTCAAACATGAACAAAAGATTGTCAGAAAGTCTTACTTTCTAAGGCGAATTGTTTGAAATTTACAAAGGACACATCTCAATGTTAACAATTCATGGAGTTTGAAATTAAACAATGTAGAAATATACCAAGCAATCACTGTTAGAAATGTGGTATAACTATATTAAAATTAGACAAAATTAGTCTTTGGGAAAAATCAGCGGAAAACATTAAGCATAAAATGTAGGAAAAAAGCAGGTAAATTTATAGCATTTTAAATTTACCAGGAATATATAATCAGTTTACACTTAACCACTCCCAGTAATATTCCTGCAAATATACATGGAGGAAGAGTCGCGGAAATAAATGGACAGGTAGGCAAATCCACGGCCACAGTGGGGTGTTTAACACTCCTCTTTTCTCAGTTGTTGATAGAAGTGGTTCAGGCAATTAGAGAGGATTTAGAAAGATAATTGCTGGACCTGACCCAAGGTATAAGTCCACTCCCAACCACAGGACTCACTTTCCTTACAAGCACAAGGGCATTTAGAAATCTCTCTGGATTCTGACCAGCCCTCACCATATGGCAGGTCCATGGACTTCTTGGAACACACCAAGCTCATTCTCACATTAGGGTCATCCCCAATGTCCTAAGTCCATGAAAGTTCCTTTCAACACACTCCCCAGGGCTCACTCCCTCTTGTCTCTAAGATCGGAGTTTAAATGTGATCTCTCTGATGAGGTCTCAGTGAGACGTTCCCTCCTGTACACTCCAAATGACAACGTTCCACGTTCATTCATTTCATTCTGTGCATGGCACTTTCACCAAGTGCTAAGGATTCACTCACTAATTCATACATTCATTCATTCATTCATTCACTCATTCCATCATTCACTCATTCATTCATTCTCTCATTCATTCATTCATGTTCTGCCTCTCTCTCCCACCCCACAGCAATGTGAGCATCATGAACCCAGGAGCTTGGCCGTGCTGTCTACTCCTGGCCATGAAACAGAGAGAACTGATGGTAGGTGTGAAATAAATATTAGATGAATGAGTTAGTGAAGGGGTCATTTACTGGGTGAGCTCAGTTCTCTCTACTCTAATGCCCTCCCTCGGCTGACTTCCCTGAGTTGCCCCCTCGGCTGAGTGAAGTCCCTTCACTGGCAAATGGAACCTCAACCAGTAGCACCTAGGTGGTCTCATACTTTGTTCTTTCCCTCTCCTCTTGCTCCCTAAGGATTATCAATCTCCATGACAGGGCTGGAGAGCAGACAAGCCACACATTCTTTCTGGGGAGAGAGTAACATGGAGTACAAGGCATTCCACATTTAGGAAGAGAACTCAGTTATGGAAGGTCAGAAATGAAAAGTTCCTACAGACCAACACCCAGGTTGGTGGCCACAGCCCTAAATGCTGATGGAGAATCACTGCAAGTCTGTAGGGAAGATGTCTGGCTTGAGGCCACTGAGCGAAGTGGCAGATCCTTCTCAGCCTTCAGTGCTGAGCCTCTGTCCCCTCAGGGATCCACTGACCAATGAGAAGAGCCTCTTCTCATCTCCTGGGATGGAGCTTGGGGCCCCTGGCGAAGGAATGGGCCTGTTTCCACCTGTCATGTTGTCATCTAGCTTGGAAATCCTGCGAGTCCCAGGGAGGCCCTCCCCGAGTCCCCAGAGAAGACTCCCCCACTGAGTCTCCAAGGTGTGGAGAGAGCAAAAA
Source organism: Homo sapiens (assembly GCF_000001405.40). NCBI lineage: Eukaryota > Metazoa > Chordata > Mammalia > Primates > Hominidae > Homo > Homo sapiens. The sequence goes on from NT_187643.1 coordinate 78,281, forward strand.
ACATCTAGGGTGGAAAATGCCTCCCATCAAGAGACATTGGGGCTCCCCCAACGATGGTTGCATCTGTGCCCCCCATGTGGAAATCACTCTTTGGTGAGAGGTGGGGGCTTCTGGAAATGGGCAATGGCGGGCGGCCAATGCTACCTCTAGTCTTTCCAATCTGAGCCCGGCCTTTCATGCTCCTGAGTCAGCATTGATGCTGTTTACATGTGTCCCAGGTGGGCTTCTGTACAAAGACTGGGAAGTGGTTTATGTGGCCTGTGCTCTATCTGCAAGCTTCAGGTAGGGTTGCAGTTACCACCCCAAACCCTAATGTGATCTGTCTGCCTCGCTCTGTCTGTCTGTCTATGCCTCTTTCTGTATGTTTGCTTTGTGTCTCTTCTGTCCAGCATCTCTGGCTGACACCCCCATGGCCACCCCCTCCATCTGAGGCTCCCCTGAATGTGGCCATTGTAGTCCATCTGAGTCCCACTATTTGGGGAACAGACTGGTTTCCTCACCTGTGACAGAAACAAGCAGTGGGTCACTAAGGTCTGACCACTCGTAGGGAGAGTCACGGAAAGAGCCGAAGCATCTGTAGGTCCCTCCGTGGGTGGCAGGGCCCAGAGGAAAGTTGGCCTGGAAGGTTCCATTGACCTTGGGCACTGCAGGGAACCTAAGTTCATGAGCCTCCCCCTCCCTTGATAGATGGTAGATGTCATAGGAGCTCCGGGAGCTGCAGGACAAGGTCACGCTCTCTCCTGCCTTAACCATGGGGCGCGGCTGGGCTGAGAGAGAAGGTTTCCCACATAGACCTGGAAGGAGAAGAGGCAGTTTCCTCAGGGAGGTTCTTCCTTGTCACAACTCCCCTCCCACCTGAGCTGAGAACTCACTCCCCTGCTCTATGGCCTAATGCTCTCTCTCTCTGTCTCACCCTCCACACCATCTCTCTTTATGTCTATTTCCTCTTTCCACCTTCTCTGTCTCTCTAGGTCTCTGACCTCACTTTCTCACCTCTAGATATGTTTTCCCTTTTTGGATTGTTTTATTCTCTCTGACTCTCCTTGGACTAGTTGACTTGATGTTACTTTTTTTAAATTCTGAGTTTCTCACTTTGTGTCCTGTTCATAACTTTCTGCATATTTCTATCTATTATCTATCGATATATCTATTTATCTATTTGGTGCCTATCTACAAATTCTCTACCTGTCATCTATATCTATATATAATCTATTTATCTATCAATTGTCTATCCAAAAATCATCTATTATCTATATCTATGTATCGTCTCTCTCTCTCTATGATTTCTCTTTGTCTGCCTCTCTATCTCTATGTATTATCTATCTATCTTCATCTTCATCATCTCTATGTATCATCGATTAATCAATGAATGAATCAATCATCATCTATGTATCTATAACCTATTATCTATCATCTACCTATTTATCATCTATCTATATCTATCCATCTATCATCTGTCTTGCTCTGCCTCTCGGTCTCTCTAGTTCTCTTTGGAATCTCTGCAATTCATCCCCACATCTCCATCTTTCTATGTCCTTGTGTCTCTCCCTCAGGACTCTAATTTTAGTGCTTTTCTCTGTTCCCTTCCATTGTTCTCTCCACTTCTCTGCCCTCTTTTCTCCCTCTTTATGTGTCTGTGAGTCTCTCAATCTCCTTCCTCTGGCTCATTCTCTGTGTGTTTATGTCTTTGCTTTTTGGTGTCCCTGATTTCTCTCTGTGTCTCTCAGTGATCCTCTCATATGTGGGGTTATTTGGAATGTGAGCCTCAGAATCCAGTCTGGGGACCGCAAGTTCACACAGTATACAGGGGTTGATGTTCTGGGGCCATGATATCCTGGGACGATTACTCTCCATTGCATGGAAGGCAGAGGTGTCAGAATAAACACGGCATCTGTAGGTGCCAGAAGGCCTGAGGCCACAGGGCCCAACTCAGGCCAGAAATATGGGTGTCCTTGGGTTCTTCTGGTAGAGAACACTTTGTGGAAGTAAAACAGAAATGAAACTTCTAACCTGTGCCAGGTCTCTGAGCAAAGTCAGCATGGAAGGACACCTCTCTCTGGCACATGTCTGTCTGTGTCTCCTTTAACTCTTTCTGTCTTTTCTAACTCCCTGTATGGCCCCTGTGTCTGTCCTCTGTTATGACACCTGGTCTGTACTTGTGTCTCCTGTTTCTCTGTCTCTGTTGGTACAGACCTCACCAAGTTAGTCTCTCTCCATAAGAATACCAAGCTCATCTTCCTTATAACCACCTGGGCCTCCAAGTCGTGGATCATTCACTCTGTGTCCCAGTGACAATGAGAATAATGTCCAGACACTCTCACCTGTAATCACGATGTCCAGAGGGTCACTGGGAGCTGACAACTGATAGGGGGAATGAGGAACAGAACCGTAGCATCTGTAGGTCCCTGCAAGGTCTTGCGTCATGCGACCGATGGAGAAGTTGGCCTTGGAGACTCCATCATGGAGCTCTCCAGTGAGGCGCAAAGTGTCATTAAACTTCCCCTCTCTGTGCAGAAGGAAGTGCTCAAACATGACATCTGACCAACATTGCAGGATGACTGTCTCTTCTGATTTCACCAGGGGACCTGGGTGGGCCAGGAGGGAAGGTTTTCTGTGGACTCCTAGGAAGAGAGGTTGTGACTTTAGAAGGCATCTCTCTTTATCATCCCATCCATGGCACCTAGAATGAGTGAGGCTTCCCCTCGCTGGTGTCTTATCTCTCTCCTTCCTCTCTGTGTCTTCATGTTCTTTTCTGTGCCCATAACTCCTGGTACAGGTCCTTCCATCTGTCTCCCTCCCTCTTCTCTGTCCCTCTGTCTCTAGTAGCTCCTGATTCCCTTGCCGCTGGGCTCAGCCTCATCTCTTGGGCTGTTGTATCTATTTCGAACTAATGTCTTTCCTGCTTCTATGTGGGGGTGGAAGAGGAACCAGGATAGGCTGCACGTCCAGGCTCTTAGCAGACTGGTTCAATCTCTTTTGGACGAATTGGAATCCTTGGCAGAAGGTATGAACTGATCAGTAAGGCAGGCACCAGTGTCCACACACCCTGTTCCTGGTGGGGACTGGGAGCCACTCTTGCCATGCCTGTGCCTTCTCCATGGTGCCAGCTTCCATAGGCTGGCTTCTGGTGCTGGTTTGAGGAGTATCAACCCCTCCCTATGTGGATGGAGCCTGGTGGTGGCATCATCATCCCACCCTTGCTGATCTCGGTGTAGCCAACCTTCTCTTTGTTTGGTTTCTTTAATTAATTAATTAATTTTGGAGTCAGAGTCTCACTCCTTCACCCAGGCTGGAGTGAAGTGGTGTGGTCTAGGCTCACTGCAACCTCTGTCTCCTGGGTTCAAGTGATTCTCCTGCCCTCAGCCTCCTGAGTTGCTAGGATTACATGCACCTGCCACCACGCCCGGCTATCCTTGTGTCCTTTCTTATCTTGTCCTTGACCTGGGTTCCAGTGTTGGTTTCCTGTTGGTGCTGTGGAAAATTATCAGAAGCATGGCAGCAGGAGAGAGCACACTGACCCCTTCCGTTTCTGGAGACAGAAATCGGACCCTGTTTTTTGAGGGCTAAAATCAAGGCATCTGCAGGGCTGCGTTCCCTCTGGAGACCCAGGAGAATCAGTTCCTTGACTTTTCCAGCCTCTATAGGCCACCTGCATTCATGGCTCATGGCCTTCCTCCACCTTCAAAGCTGATGGAGACTTCCATTGCACTGCTCTAATCGCCACTCCCCTCTTCCTTCTCCTCTCATGTGCACCCTTGTGATTACACTGAGCCCAGCAGGACAGTCCAGGCTGTCTCCCCATCTCAAGGTCAACTCAACAACCTGAGCTCCATCTTCCCCTTCAGTGCCTTCCCCTATAACATAAATAGTCACAGACTGCAGGGATTAGAATGCAGTCATCATTGGGGACAATTATTCTTTCCACCACAGCACCCATTTCCCTGTATTCAATCCCCTTTTACCCCAAATACAGTTAGGGTCTGGATGATGGGACGCTGGTGGACACTCCCACCAGAAGCTCTGGGACTCAGGAGGTGGGACAAGGAGAATCCCAGACAGGAGCCCTCTGACCTGTGACCATGATCACCAGGGGGTTGCTGGGTGCTGACCACCCAGTGAGGAAGTGTGGGTGTGAACCCCGACATCTGTAGGTCCCTGCATGTGCTGGGGTCACAGGGCCTATGAAAACGGTGTTTCGGAATACTCTGTTGTAGAGCTCAGGGACAGGCATCCCGTCTTCTTTGGACAGACTGAATTCGTTAAACCCAAGACGAGAGCGACACTGAAGAGCCACATGTTCTCCTTCAGACACCACAGGGCTGGGCCAGGCAGAGAGGAAGGGCTTGTCCTGACCACCTGGGGGAGAAGGAGGCGCCACCTTAGAGAGGAGGATGTGGCACTCCCTCCCTCTATTCCTTTCCAGGACTCACCAACACACGCCATGCTGACGACCATGAGCGACATGGTGCTGCCGGTGCAGACAGGCGGCCGCGCCCCAGCTCAGCTCAGCAGCGCACAGGATGTTATTTGGCGCCCTGCCCATGCAGCTTACATGTTGACTACATCATGGGAGGGTGACATACGCAGGCTCTTTCTACCTTGCATGAGGCCCAGTGGATGCTTGCTCAAGAGCGGAACACGGCTTCCTGGAAATTGTTCTCACTAGAATTGGCACCTCACGTCCTTCACTATGACCAACTCACAACACGTCTCAGATCCAACCTCCCGAACACAAGATGCCTAAAATCTGTGCTAACGTGAAAGACTTTTCATGTATTTTTATCCGAACACGAGATGCCTAAAATCTGTGCTAACATGAAAGACTTTTCATGTATTTTTTTTGTTTTTATCTGAGATTCAAACTCTTCTTCCTGTGTAATATGCAAAGTATCTAATAGGTATTATTAATGTTTTCGGAGTCATTGTGACTAATAAACCATTAGAATTTTTCATGCTTGTATTTCTAGTATTACAGCAGAACCAGCTAAAATGATTTAAATTCCCAGGGAAGGATTATGCAATTATTTACAATCTTAGAATTGTACTTTATCAGCAAAAACCACACCTGTAAATTCTGGAGTTTTGTAGTTTAATCTAAAATTTGTCTCATGACCCAAGATTCCAGAGTCCCAACTCTGGAGTTTGCTCTCTGTCTGTCTCTCTCCCTCCCTCGTTTTAAATTTTACAGAAATATCCAGTAACATAATGCTATAGAAAATCAAGTTTTCCCCAGCACGTTGGGAAGCCGAGGTGGGCGGATCAACTGAGATAAGGAGTTTGAGAGCAGCCTGGCCAATATAGTGAAACCGTGTCTCTGTTAAAAATCCAAAAATTAGCCGTGCCTGGTGGCAGGCACCTGTAACGCCAGCTACTCAAGAGGCTGAGGCACGAGAATCGCTTGAACCTGGGAGGCGGAGGTTGCAGTGAGCTGAGATTGTGCCACTGCAGTCCAGCCTGGGCGACAGAGCAAGACTCCGCCTCAAGAAAAAAAAAGCAAACAGCCTATAATAACAAATTAGAGGGCTCTGGCTACTAAATTTAAAGGGTTCTATAAGGCTACATAAAGTGCAGCATCATCAAGAGTGTGGACACAGAGAGCCCCTTAGCAGAAACAGTGTCTAAAATACATCCATGTACACACAGTCCCTTTAGAGTTGACAAAGGCTGCCGTGTGGTTTAAGGTGGCATAGAATGTCTTCTCAATAAATAATATTAAACCAATTGGTTACACCTAGGAAAAAATAAATCTAACTCACACTATAAAAACACTTCTTAGTTTTTATCTAGTTGTACATTTTTTATGATTTATATTTAAATTTGAGAAATAAAAGTCATATACGGTCATCCTTCACTATTCGTGGGTGATTGGTTTTGAGATCTCCACTCAGATACCAAAATCTGTAGATGCTCAAGCCTCTTATATGAAATGGCACAGCGTTTGCAAATAACCTATGCACATCCTCCTGTATACATGAAATCATCTCTAGATTACTTATAATTCCTGATACAGCCTACACACAGCTTCATTTGTGTCCATTCAACATAGTTATGCTTTTTGAAACTCTGTGGATACTTTCTCTCAATATTTTTGATTTATACTTGGTTCAATAAACACCTGTAAACCCCGCAGATATGGAGGAGTGACCGTATATTTATATTATGAAAGATGATGTGTTGATATGTGTCCCCATGGAGATGAGACTAACAAGGCCTATGATTCTACAAATGTTTCATTGTGGAATGACTCTGCCAGCTTTCCAGGTCTGCAGAGAGTAAGAGTATCACTTGTTCATATGATTCGTGATCCTTGGAACCTCCTATGTGCTACATCTTTGGATGGAAATTGGAGTCCCAGAGACAAATGAGGCTCCACCCTGCTTCCAGAAACTCAGAGTCCGGGGATGAGAACTCAGTGGGGAACAGATGGGATTATATGGACATGGTACTGATAACACCGGAAGCCTTAGGCAAGAAAAGAGTCCCATTACCGAAACCATGGGGGCAGACATGTTTATTTGAAGGATGGAAAACTACATTGAAGTTATTTTAAAAAATATATAAGTTTTACTGCTGACAGAAGACTGAAAGCTAGTCTGAGGGGAGGTGGAACAGCATGAGGGAAGGTGGAACAACACGTGTCTAAGTGCTGCGTTAAGAGGGAGCCTCTTGTATGTTTGGAATTGTGAGTTCCTCAGTGTGATTGCAGCCTCAAGTAGACTAGGAAGTAAGCCAGTTAGGTTGGAGAGGTGGGCAGGGGTCAAGTGAAATGGAGAACTGTGGGTTAAGCAAAGGAGTGTGTTTTTTCTCCAGCAGGCAGTGGGGACCTTAGACATTTGTAAGCAAGAGAGAGGCACATTCAGATTTGTGGTGTGAGGAAGATCGATGCCCTAAGATGCAGACTCACGCCTTCAGATTCCAGCTGCTGGTACATGGGAGCTGGCAACCCGGTTTTGAGACAGGGCTGTTGTCTCCCTAGAAGACGCCCTCAAGGCCTGACTGTGGTGCTCATGGGCAGGAGACAACTTTGGATCTGGACTCAGCATTTGGAAGTTCCGTGTACACGATGATATCTGTTGGGGGTGTCTTGGGCCTCTGAGAAGGGCGAGTGATTTTTCTCTGTGTGAAAACGCAGTGATTCAACTGTGTGTATGTCACCTCCTGAGGGTCTTGTTCATCAGAGTCCTGGAGAGAGGGAAATGCTGAGTGAGGGAGGGTGCTCACATTTTCCAGGACTCTTTGGGAATAACAGTAGCCACGAGCCCGGGCCGAGGAGTACCTACCTCGCTATTCGCTGTTCTGTTTCCTGCAGACTCTTGGTCCATTACCGCAGCATCTGTAGAAGATGGAAGTCAACAAAACAGCTCGGAGGGCACTTCTGGGTCCTCATTTCATAAGCAGATACCAACATACAGGGGGAGACCATAGGTGGCTGAGGTCCCTCAGTTGCCAACAGCAGACTCAGACATTCTATCTCTCTGAGCTCAAGGACCCATCCCATGAATAGCTCTGAGTTCCCATCCCATTGATTCTGTCTCCCACTTTCTGCCTGTCATGGAACCTTCTCCTGGATGTGAGTGGCTGCAGGGGACATGGGGATACAGTTCAGAATCAGGCAACGGTCTGTGAGTTGAAGGCAGGGACAGGGAGTCTGGTGCCCTCTCTAGAAAGTCCTGCCTCTGTGGCTGCTGCCTTGGGCCAGGGACCATCCTGTTTGTGAGGAACACACACCTGAGTGCTCCCATCCTGCTTCCCCACATGGCCCTGAGCTCTCTGGCCTCTGCTTCGTGAGACTTACTTTTTTTGTTGGAGCACCAGCGATGAAGGAGAAAGAAGAGGAGGATGAAGAGGATGATGACCACTGAGGTCCCAATCAGAATGTGCAGGTGTCGGGGGTTACCTGGAAGAAGATGAGACACCAATAAGAAGCTAATCTTAGCAGTTCCTCTTTATGAATTGTCTCGCATTTCTTGATTGACAGGTAACCACATAAAACACCTCTTTAGGACAAGCACCCAGATGGCAGGAGACCCAGCTTTCTCCTGCTTTTTCAGTTATAGCTCTCATAGTAACCATAGAACGTGCTGAGGATACGACTACTTTAGTTGAGATGTTTGACCCCTTCAAACCTCACATTGAAATTTCACCCCCACTGTGGGAGGTTGGGCCTCTTGAGAGGTGTTTGGGTCATGGAGGTGGATCCATCATGAACACATCAATGCTGTCCCAAGGAGACGGGGTTAGCAAGTTCCCCCTCTATTAGTTCCCGGAGAGCTGGTTGTTAAAAAGAGCTTGGAAGCTCCATCACTCCCCCTCCCCCTTGCTCCCTCTCTTGCCGTGTGATCTCTGTGGTCTCTGCACAGACAGACCCTCCTTCCCTTCTGCCAGAGTGGGAGCAGCCTGAGGCCGTCACGAGAAATAGATGCTGGTGCCATGCTTCCAGTACAGCCTGCAGAACGGTGAGGCAAACCAATCTCTTTTCTTTAGAAGTTACCGAGGCTCAAGTGTTCCTTTAGAGCAACAAAAATGGCCTAAGACAGCAACTTCCTGAGATCAGGAGGAACGTCTCAGAACACCCTGGGCTGTCTTCCTGTTCTTCCTGGAGGACGTCATGCAGTGCTTTAGCTGAGTGCTTCCTGTGGCTCCAGGGTACAAAACCCAGGCTGGGCTGCTTTCTGGCTTCCCGCAGCTACACTGCAAATGGGGTGACTCCATATGTCCCGAGGAGCTTTTCTGAGCCTTGAGGGACTGGGTCACATTGAAATATAGGTTTCTGTTGTCACTCGCTGCTTATCTGTTAGTAATGAACCTGCCTATGTAACGTATTCTCTGTGTGTTCTGTCTCCCTGGAGTGACGGTGAGTGATAGGAATTGGCATAGGCCCAGGTGCAGTCCAGGAGGTGTTTAGAGTCTTCTCTGGGAAGACTGGACTGGGATTGATTCACAGCGAATGTGCTTTAGGGTTTCTACATCCACAGCATTCTTGAATCAAACAACTTGCATTCTCCAAGGAAAGAAAACAAAAGTGAAATCAAGATAAAAAAAGCGAAATAGAATTCTCTTATGTCAAACGGCCAGGAAATAGTGTTGAAGCCCGTGTGAAACCTGCTGCTCTTTGTGATCTCGGGAGACACATATTAGGCTGCTGTTCTACCCGAGAGGCTGGGGGAAGGACCACCCCCTCGGCCATCTATTGCTTCAAAACCACCTGTCCTCCTGTGAATTAGTAGGAAAGGGGAGCAGGAGCTAGTGCTGTCGCTGATCTCTGATTCCAAGATCTGGACTCACTCCAAGGAGTGTTAATGTTTACCTCCCCATGGTCTATCTGAATCTCCACAGGTGATTGGAAGTAGGGGTGAGGTGGGGGATTTGGGTGAGTGGGCAAGTTTTTTTTGTGATGACCAGAGCACTTTCTCTATTCCAGGATCTGTGCTGGAGGATTCAGCGGGCTTTCACATTTTCTATATGATCTCATGCTCACAGAAAGCCAAATAGGGAAGAGGTTTTAGGCTCATTGCCTAATGGATAAGATAAAGGATCAAAGAAGTAATTATAGAGAAATAGAAAAACGATGATTGGAATTCAGGTGCCTTTGTCATTCGTGTGTGTTTTATTATATTTATGTATTTCTTATTTTTATTTTTTGAGATAGAGTCTCCTTGTGTCCCCCAGGCTGGAGTGCAGTGATGCAATCTCCACTCACTGCAACCTCCACCTACTGGGTTGAAGTCATTCTCCTGCTTCATCCTCCAGAATAGGAGCTGGGATTACAGGGATGCACCATCGTGCTCGGCTAATTTTTGTATTTTTAGTAGAGATAGGGTTTCACCACGTTGGCCAGGCTGGTCTGGAACTCCTGACTTCATGGAATCCACCCACCTTGGCCTCCTGCAGTGCTAGGTTACAGGCGTGAGCCACTGTTCACAGACTTGTATATTATGCTATAATAAGTCTCTTCATTTCCACCACCACTCATATATCTGTCACTCCTTTGCCAGGTATTGATTTATGTGTAGGATGAATAAATCTCAGAAAGAAATTAATTAAGCGAGGATTAAACAAGTAGGAAAATCAAACCCAGTAAGCCTTTCCAGTCAATGATTCTACCTCACAAACATATCTTATATCCATCTACTTCATTCATTTAGTGTCTAAATCAGCACCACATTTCACCAGTGGGGCGGCAATTGCCTTTTCCACGGTCTCCTAGATTCCAGTTATGCACCTGGGCCTCCCTTATTTTCATGTCAGTCATATTAATCATGTAGGGATTCCTGGTTACCCCGAGGTGAATCCAATGGCTGTGAGTGTCAAACACACACTCCTTGTTGCTCCTTAGTTTCCTGTGTACCCAGTGTGCTCTCCGTCTCTCTACAGTCGTCTTGTCATTCTCCCCACCTCATTCCCAGCATTTGAGTCAGAGCCTCTTCCTTCCACATCAGATTGTTTTCACCTTTGTGCCTTCATGGCTGACAGCTGTGTGTGCAAAATCCTTCCGCCAATCTTTCAGGGGTTCATTCCGTGTTTTTCATTAATGTCACAAATATCTGAATAGTGAGACCTTCTTTGTCACCTGAAATCATACACTCAGCATTATCTATTATTGATTTTGAATTCTGGCTGGGCACAGTGGCTCACGCCTGTAGTCCCATTACTTTGGCATGCTGAGACGGTCGGATCACTTGAGGTTGGGAGTTTCAGACAAGCTTGGCCAACGTGGTGAAACATCCTCTCTACAAAAAATATACAAAAAGAATTAGCCGGGCACGGTGGCAGTTGCCTGTAATCCCAGCTACTCGAGAGGCGGAGGCAGGAGAATCACTTGAATCCAGGAGACGCAGGTTGCAGTGAGCCAAGATCGTGACACTGCACTGTAGCCTGGAAGACAGAGGGCGACTCTGTCTCAATAAACAAAAGAACAAACAAAAAATAGATTTCATGCACAGATGCTTCCCAATGGATCATTCATTTATAGATCCACTTGTGCGTTCATTTTCTGCCCTCCCATTTAACCATCTGCAATATCAGTGTCCCAAGGGCAGAGGCCAAATGCATCTTGTTCACTGTTTGTGGAAGGCAGGAGAATGCTGTCCCACCCCAAAATGTCCCTGTCCTAGCCTCCATAGCTTGTGAATATGTTATTTTACATGGAAAGGAGGAATGAAGATTGCAGATGGAATTATGGTTGCTAATCAGCTGAACTTAAAACAAGGGTATCCTGGATGATTTCCAGGAGATTATGAGGGATTTTCATCTTGGTGAACCCAATAGAATCCCCAAGTTTTCAAAAGATGAGGAAGAAGGGAGAGCAGCACTCAGAGAAAGAGGTGTGGTAAGGAAGAAGGCACTGAGTGATGCCATGTGAGATGTGACCAGTCTTTGTGGGCTTTGAGGAAGGAGGAAGGGGACCAGGAGCCAAGGAACTGGGAGCCTTTAGAAGCTGGGACAAGTGAGAAGCAGATTCGTGCCTGGAATCCTCAGAGGGAAGGCAGCCTTGCTGTCACCTTGATTTTAGCCCAGTAAGATGCACTTCCTACTTTGAGCTACAGCACTGTAAGATAATTAAAAAACCGTTTTGTTTTCACCCACGAATCTTGTGGAAATTTGTTATGGCAACAATAGGAAAAGGTTCCACACTGCACAGCCTGAGCATGGGGCCGTGGCTGAATGAGTCAGTGAGTCGAAGTGTGCGTGCATGAGCTCTGTTCTCTGTTACGGCAAGGCTCTTTCTCTGCGGAGTCAGCCAGGGTTGCTTCATGACCTACAGGAGCTCATTCCTTGGCAAGTGGAACTTCTCTAAAACACCTTGCCCTCATCAGATGTTCCCTTCCCTTCCCTCTCTCAAGTCTCCAGGAATTTATCCTCCAGTTAGGAATGCAGGTAGAACAAACATTGCATTTTTCCTGAGAAGGATGTCAGATTGGCAATCATTCTTCTAGCTTGTAGGAGGTCTCAGCTCCATAAAATGAGAGATGAAGAGATTTCACTGAGCCCTGTGTTGGGCCCAGATCCCTTTCGCTGTAGGAGTATCTGGAGTTCGGAGATGGTGGAAGACAAGTGTACAATGTCAGAGCTGTGAGATGCTGAGTCAACGCCTGAATCCAAGGTTCCCACCTCCCCAGGGTTCCAAAAGCGGATATAAGAGGGTTCTGTACTCACCGGTTTTGGAGCTTGGTTCAGTGGGTGAAGGCCAACTATTTGAAGGGTTTCCTAGAACATGAGACAGGAGAGAGGTGAGGAAATGAGGGTGTCTGTCCTCCACTCAGTGGAAATCTTTGAGGATGGTTCATGGCCAACACTCTCTTATCTAATATTGAGCCCTGGGAGTCCTGGGATCCTTTTTTCCATAATTTTTTTATATGACACCCACTGTCTTGAGACTTCAAGATATAAAGAGAAAACAGGAGCATCACACTACCTGATCTCAAAATATGTTACAGAGCTGTAGTAAGCAAAATAGCATGACATTGGCATAAAGAAAGGCACATAGAACAACGGAGCAGAATGAATAACACAGATATATTCCATGCATTTACATCCAATGGTTTTTTATTTTTTCTTTTGAGATGGAGTCTTGCTCTGTCACTCAGGCTGGAGTGCAGAGGTGCAATCTCGGTTCACTGCAACCTCAGCCTCCTGGGTTCAATCATTCTCTTGCCTCAAATTCCTGAGTAGTGGTATTACAGGTGCTGACCACCATGCTCAGCTAATTTTTATATTTTTAGTGGAGACGATGTTTCATCACGTTGGCCAGACTAATCTTGAACTCCTGGCCTCAGGTGATCCACCCACCTCGGGCTCCCAAAGTGCTGAAATTGCAGGTGTTAGCCACCAAGCCCAGCCCATCCAATGGACTTTGACAAAGATGCCAAGAACTCACAATCAGGAAAGGACAGTCTTTTCAATAAACAGTGCAGGGAAACCTGGACATCTACATGCAGAGGAATGAAACTGCAACTCTACCTGTCACCATACACAAAAATCAAATGAAAATGGATTAAAGATGTGAGTCTAAGGCCTGAACCTATGAAACACGTAGAACAAAATATTGGGGAAATGCTCCAGGACGTTTGTCTGAAGGAAGACATTTTGTTTTAAACCTTCAAAACACAAGTAATCGAAGCAAAAATAGACCATTGGGATTACCTCAAACTAAGCAACTTCAGCACTGCTAAAAATAAACCAACAAAGTGAAGAGACAACCCACAGATTGGGAGCAAATATGTGCAAACTATGCATCTGAGATGGGATTAATAACTAGAAATATAAGAAGCTCAAACAACTCAATAAAACAAATGATTTAATTGAAAAAGGAGCAAAAGACATGAAATTTCCCCACATACGAAAAAGTGCTCAGTATCACTCATCATCAGAGAAACGCAAATTAAAATCAAAGTGAGTTTTCATCTCACCCCATTAAAATGGCTTTTAGGCCGGGTGAGGTGGCTCACTTGTGTCATCCTAGAACTTTGAGAACCTGAGGTGGGTGAATCTCATAAGGTTGGGAGTTTGAGACCAGTCTGACCCACATAGAGAAACGCTGTCTCTACTAAAAATACAAAAATTAGTAGGGCGTGGTGGCGTGTGCCTGTAATTCCAGCTACTCGGGAGGCTGAGGCAGGAGAATCGCTTGAACCTGGGAGGTGGAGGTTGTGGTGAGCCGAGATAGCGCCACTGCACTCCAGCCTGGGTGAGAAGAGCAAAACTCCATCTCAAAATAAAATGAAATAAAATAAAATGGCTTTTAGCTGCAAGACAGGCAAAAGAAATGCTGGCAAGGTGGTAGAGAAAGGAGAACCCTGGTACCCTGTTGGGAGGAGTGTAAATTAGTACAGCCATTACGGAGAAAAGTATGGAAGTCCTTTAAAGAACTAAAAAGAGGTTGGGTGAGGTGGATCATGCCTGTAATCCCGGCACTTTGGGAGACTGAGGCGGGCACCTCAGTTGAGGTCATGAGTTTGAGAGCAGCCCAGCCAACATGGGGAAACCGCATCTATACTAAAAAAACCAAAAAGTAGCCAGGCATGGTGGTGTGCACCTGTAATCCCAGCTACTAGGGAGGCTGAGGCAGGAAAATCATTTGAACCCAGGAGGCGGAGGTTGCAATGAGCCAAGGTTGCACCACTTTGACTCCAGCTTGGGCTAAGGAGGGAAACTCTTTCTCAAAAAAGAAAAAAAAAAAAAAAAGAGAACTTTCATAGTATCCAGCAATTTCACTACTGGGTTTATATCCAAAGGAAAGTAAATCAACATATCGAAGTGATATCTGCACTCGTATGATTGGTGCAGCACTGTTCACAGTAGCCAAGATGAGGAGTCAACCTACCTGCCCATCAGTGGGTGAATGGATAGAGAGAATGTAGTACATACGCACAGTGGAGACTACTCATCCATAGAAAGAATAACATCCTGTCATTTGCAGCCACATGGATGGAACTGGAGGTCATTAAAAAGATTCCCATTTCTCACCCATATACAGGAGCTAAAAGGTGGATCTCATGAAGGTAGAGAGTAGAATGGTGGCTACTGGAGGACAGGAAGAAAAGGGTGGAGGGTAAAAAAAATGTATATATATATATATATAAAAATGTATTTATGACCACTAGACTTTACACTTAAAAATGGTAAATGTGGCTGGGCCTGGTGGCCCATGCCTGTAATCCCAGCACTTTGGGAGGCTGATGCGGGTGGATCACGTGGTCAGGAGTTCGAGACCAGCTCGACCAACATGGTGAAACCACCTCTCTACTAAAAATACAAAAAGTAGCCTGGCGTGGTGGTGCGTGCCTGTAGCACTAGCTACTCAGGTGGCTGAGGCAGGAGAATCGCTTGAACCCAGGAGGCGGAGGTTGCAGTGAGCTGAGATTGTGCCACTGCACTCCATCATAGGGGACAGAGCTAGACTCCACCTCAAAAAAAAATGTTAAAAGTGGTAAGCTATATAGGTATATTTATCCTCAATAAATATTTCTTCAAAGAAAAGTAAAGGGTGTAGGGGTTGCTGGTGATGACATCTCTGTGTGGGTGAGAGGCCAGGATGGGCTTCTGGGAAATGGGTAAGGTTGAGGGGCTGAGGGAACCTCTGATCTCCCCAAACTGAGCCCAGTCTCCCTCCTCTGGGTCTCTCCTGACCGCTTTCTCCATCTGCCTGGGTGCCTGGAGCCCTGGCCGTGGGCCTCCATGCAGGCCATGTAGGAGGGTTTGGAGGTGCCCTGTCGGCCATCCTGTGCCCTGATCCCTCCCTCACACCGAGGCTGCGTCTTCTCTCTGCATCTGTCCATGCTTCTCTCCATCCTCAGCAGGAAGCTCCTCAGCTAAGGCTCTAGGATCATAGGACATGGGACAGCCATGGGCTTTCCTCACCTGTGACAGAAACAAGCAGTGGGTCACTTGACTTTGACCACTCGTATGGAGAGTCATGGAAAGAGCCGAAGCATCTGTAGGTCCCTCCGTGGGTGGCAGGGCCCAGAGGAAAGTCAGCCTGGAATGTTCCGTTGACCTTGGGCCCTGCAGGGAGCCTACGTTCATGGGCCTCCCCTTCCCTGGATAGATGGTACATGTCATAGGAGCTCCGGGAGCTGCAGGACAAGGTCACATTCTCTCCTGCCAGAACCGTGGGGCCCAGCTGGGCTGAGAGAGAAGGTTTCTCATATAGACCTGGAAGGAGAAGAGGCAGTTTCCTCAGGGAGGATCTTCTTTGTCACAGCTCCCTTCACCTGAGCTGAGAACTCACTCCCCTGTTCTATGACCTAATGCTCTCTCTCTCTCTCTCTCACCCTCTACCCCATCGCTCTTCATGTCTATTTCCTCCTTCCACCTTCTCTGTCTCTCTAGGTCTCTGACCTCACTTCCCCACCTCTAGATATGTTTTCTCTTTTTGGATTGTTTTATTCTCTCTGACTCTCCTTGGATTGGTTGACTTGATGTTACTTTTTTTAATTCTGAGTTTCTCACTTTGTGTCCTGTTCATAACTTTCTGCATATTTCTATCTATTATCTATCGATCTATCTATTTATCTATTCGGTGCCTATCTACAAATTCTCTACCTGTCATCTATATCTATATATCATCTATTTATCCATCAATTGTCTATCTATCCATCAATCATCTATTATCTATATCTATGTATCATCTCTCTCTCTCTATGATTTCTCTATGTCTGCCTCTGTATCTCTATGTATTATCTATCTATCTGTCTTCATCATCATCATCTCTATGTCTCATCTATTAATGAATCAATCAATCATCATCTATGTATCTATAACCTATTATCTATCATCTACCTATTTATCATCTATCTATATCTATCCATCTATCATCTGTCTTGCTCTGCCTCTCGGTCTCTCTAGTTCTCTTTGGAATCTCTGCAATTCATCCCCACATCTCCATCTTTCAATGTCCTTGTGCCTCTCCCTCAGGAGTCTAATTTTAGTGCTTTTCTCTGCTCCCTTCCATCATTCTCACCACTCCTCTGCCCTCTTTTCTCTCTCTTTATGTGTCTGTGAGTCTCTCAATCTCCTTCCTCTGGCTCATTCTCTGTGTGTTTATGTCTTTGCTTTTTGGTGTCCCTGATTTCTCTCTGTGCCTCTCACTGATCCTCTCATAAGTGGGCTTATTTGGAATATGAGCCTCAGAATCCAGTCTGGAGACTACAAGTTCACACAGCATACAGGGGTTGGTGTTGTGGGGCCATGATATCCTGGGACGATTACTCTCCATTACATGGAAGGCAGAGGTGTCAGAATAAACATGGCATCTGTAGGTGCCACAAGGCCTGAGGCCACAGGGCCCAACTCAGGTCAGAAATATGGGTGTCCTTGGGTTCTCCTGGTAGAGAACACTTTGTGGAGGTAAAACAGAAATGAAACTTCTAACCTGTGCCAGGTCTCTGAGCAAAGTCAGCATGGAGGGACACCTCTCTCTGGGACATGTCTGTCTGTGTGTCTCCTTTAACTCTTTCTGTCTTTTCTAACTCCCGGTATGGCCCCTGTGTCTGTTCTCTGTTATGACACCTGGTCTCTACTTGTGTCTCCTGTTTCTCTGTCTCTGTTGGCACAGACCTCACCAAGTCAGTCTCTCTCCATAAGAATACCAAGCTCATCTTCCTTACAGCCACCTGGGTCTCCAATTCCTGGATCATTCACTCTGCATCCCAATGACAATGAGAAGAAAGTCTGGACACTCTCACCTATGATCACGATGTCCAGAGGGTCACTGGGAGCTGACACCTGATAGGGGGAGTGAGTAACAGAACCGTAGCATCTGTAGGTCCCTGCCAGGTCTTGCGTCATGCGACTGATGGAGAAGTTGGCCTTGGAGACCCCATCATGGTGTTCTCCAATGAGGCGCAAAGTGTCGTTAAACATCCCCTCTCTGTGCAGAAGGAAGTGTTCAAACATGACATCTGACCAACACTGCAGGATGACTGTCTCTTCTGATTTCACCAGGCGACCTGGGTGGGCCAGGAGGGAAGGTTTTCTGTGGACTCCTAGGAAGAGAGGTTGTGAGTTTAGAAGGTGTCTCTCTTTATCATCCCATCCATGGCACCTGGATTGAGTCAGGCTTCCCCTTCCTGGTGTCTTATCTCTCTCCTTCCTCTCTGTGTCTTCATGTTCTTTTCTGTGCCCATAACTCCTGGTGCAGGTCCTTCCATCTGTCTCCCTCACTCTTCTCTGTCCCTCTGTCTCTAGTAGCCTCTGATTCCCTTGCCGCTGGGCTCAGCCTCATCTCTTGGGCTGTTGTATCTATTTCGAACTAATGTCTTTCCTGCTGTCTATGTGGGGGTGGAAGAGGAACCAGGATAGGCTGCACATCCAGGCTCTTAGCAGCCTGGTTCAATCTCTTTTGGACGAATTGGAATCCTTGGCAGGAGGTATGAACTGATCAGTAAGGCAGGCACCAGTGGCCACACACCCTGTTCCTGGTAGGGACTGGGAGCCACTCTTGCCATGCCAGTGCCAGCTTCCATAGGCTGGCTCCTGGTGCTGGTTGGAGGAGTATCAACCCCTCCCTATGTGGATGGAGCCTGGTGGTGGCATCATCATCTGAGCCTTGCTGATCTCAGTGTAGCCAACCTTCTCCTTGTTTGGTTTCTTTAATTAATTAATTAATTTTGGCGACAGAGTCTCACTCCTTTGCCCAGGCTGGAGTGAAGTGGTGTGGTCTAGGCTCACTGCAACCTCTGTCTCCTGGGTTCAAGTGATTCTCCTGCCCTCAGCCTCCCAAGTCGCTAGGATTACATGCACCTGCCACCATGCCTGGCTATCCTTGTGTTGTTTCTTAACTTGTCCTTGACCTGGGTTCCAGTGTTGGTTTCCTGTTGCTGCTGTAGAAAATTATCAGAAGCATGGCACCAGGAGAGAGCACACTAACCCCTTCCAATTCTGGAGACAGAAATCGGACCCTGTTTGTCGTGGGTAAAATCAAGGCACCTGCAGGGCTTCGTTCCCTCTGGAGACTCAGGAGAATCAGTTCCTTGACTTTTCCAGCCTCTATAGGCCACCTGCATTCATGGCTCCTGGACTTCCTCCACCTTCAAAGCTGATGGAGACTCCCATTATGCTGCTGTAATCCCCACTCCCCTCTTCCTCCTCCTTTCATGTGGACCCCTGTGACTACACTGAGCCCATCAGGACAGTCCAGGCTGTCTCCCCATCTCAAGGTCAACTCATCAACAACCTGAGCTCCATCTTCTCCTTCAGTCCCTTCCCCTATATCATAAATAGTCACAGACTCCAGGGATTAGAATGTAGTCATCACTGGGGACAATTATTCTTCCCACCACAGCACCCATTTCCCTGTATTCAATCCCCCTTTACCCCAAATACAGTCAGGACTTGCATGATGGGACCCGCAAGGACACGCCCACCAGGAGCTCTGGGATTCAGGAGGTGGGACAAGGAGAATCCCAGACAGGAGCCCTCTGACCTGTGACCGTGATCTCCAGGGGGTTGCTGGGTGCCGACCACCCACTGGGGTAGTGTGGTTGTGAACCCCGACATGTATAGGTCCCTGCGTGTGCTGGGGTCACAGGGCCCATGAAAAGGCTGTTCCAGAATATTATGTTGTAGAGCTCAGGGACAGGCACCCCATCTTCCTTTTACAGACTGAAGTTGTTAAACCCAAGATAAGAATGACACTGAAGAATCACATGTCCTGGAGGCACCACAGGGCTTGGCCAGGCAGACAGCAAGGGCTTGTCCTGACCACCGTGGGGAGAAGGAGGCACCGCCTTAGAGAGGAGGATGTGGAGCCGCCCCTCCCTCCCTGTGCTCTGAAGATTCTCCTCGCTTTCCAAGTTTCTATGGCTGCTATCACACCTTGGTGCCCAGGGCTAAAGGAAGGACCCATCCCGCAAACACAAGGTGTCTCCCTACAACAAAAGTGTCAGCTGAGAACTTTGAGCAAGTGCTGAGTAAGAGACTCCTACTAGATTTTAATACTGTAAGATTACTCACATAAAACAACACAGGGTAGACATGGGGTGGAGGGCATGTCCTTTGAGAATGGAATATCAGCCGATGCCTGAACGAAAATAAACAACTGAGTCCCCATCAGAGGATTGGAATGTCAGGGCCATGGCTGTGGTTTTCCCACCTCTTCTGGTAGAATGACAGCAGCCACACTGCAGCCCCTACCGTCATGGAAACGCTGAAGTGTGTGAGTAACACCTTTGTCCTCAGAGGATCTGCTGTTCCTACCACTTCCCCACCACACACCCCAGCTTTGAGCACCGTAGTCTAACCCTGGTCCCCACAGAACTTGACTCTGCCAAGGGAATGAAAGGCCAGGGAGGCAAGGTCAGAAATGTGGGCCCAGCACCCCAGGGTCCCTTCTTCCTAGTTTATGAGAGACTCCCTGACAGGACTTCCCTCCCATTTCAGGAAAATCCTCTTATGTGGGGAGATGACACCCGAAGGTTGGGAGAAGGACTCACCCTCATGTGGCCAGGCCCCCTGCAGCAAGAAGAACCCTGGAAAGAAAGATCATGATGGATGACCCATCTGCAGGCAAACCAGGGCACCCTTGCTGCCCCCACTGGGCTGTGAGTCTTGGTAGCCAGGCCCTTCCTGGGCTGAAGGTAAACTCACCCTCAGTGCCTACCTGCACCCAAGAACAGGGCTGTCGGCTGTGCAGAGACCCAGCCTCCAGGTCCATATCCCCACCTCAAGCCCATATCTCCACTCCAGGCCCATATCTCCACTCCAGGCCGATATTTCCACCCTAAGCCCATATCGCCAATCCAGGCCCATATCTCCAATCCAGGCTCAGATCTCCACCCTGGGCCCATATCTCCAATCCAGGCCCTTATCTCCACTCCAGGTCCATATCTCCTCTCCAGTCCCATATCTCCACTCCAGGCCCATATATCCTCTCCAGTCCCATATCTCCACACCCAGGCCCGTATCTCCATCCTAGGCACATATCTCCTCTCCAGGCCCAGATATCGACCTCTAGGCCCATATCTCCACTCCTGGCCCATATCTCCACTCCAGGCCCAGATATCGACCTCTAGGCCCATATCTCCACTCCTGGCCCATATCTCCACTCCAGGCCCATGTCTCCACTTCAGGCCCATATCTCTACTGCAGGCCCATAACTCCACCTCCAGGCCCATGACTCCACTCCAGGCCCATATCTCCACCTCCAGGCCCATATCTCCCCTCCAGGTTCCTATCTCCCCTCCAGGTTCCTATCTCCACTCCAGGCCCAGATCTCCACTACAGTCCCATCACTCCACCTCCAGGCCTATATCTCGACCTCTGGGCCCAGATCTCCACTTCTAGGCCCATCACTCCATCTCTAGGCCCATATATCCACTCCAGGCCCAGATCTCCACTCCAGGCCCATAACTCCACCTCCAGGCCTATATCTCCACCTCTGGGCCCAGATCTCCATCCCCTCACTCCCTCCCTCTATTGCTTTCCAGGACTCACCAACACACGCCATGCTGACGACCAAGAGCGACATGGTGCTGCCGGAGCAGACAGGCAGCCGCGACCGAGCTCAGCTCAGCAGCGCACAGGATGTTATTTGGCGCCCTGCCCATGCAGTTTACATGTTGACCACATCATGGGAGGGTGACGTACGCAGGCTCTTTCTACCTTGCATGAGGCCCAGTGGGTGCTCGCTCAAGAGCGGAACACGGCTTCCTGGAAATTGTTCTCGCTAGAATTTGACACCTAGTGTCCTTCACTATGACCAACTCAAAACACGTCTGAGATCCAACCTCCCGAACACGAGATGCCTAAAATCTGTGCTAACATGAAAGACTTTTCATGTATTTCTATTGTTTTTATCTGAGATTCAAACTCTTCTTCCTGTGTAATATGCAAAATATCTAATAGGTATTATTAATGTTTTCAGAGTCATTGTCACTAATAAACCATTAGAATTTTTCATGCTTGTATTTCTAGTATTACAGCAGAACCAGTTAAAATGATTTAAATTCCCAGGGAAGGATTATGCAATTATTTACAATCTTAGAATTGTACTTTATCAGTAAAAACCCCACCTGTAAATTCTGGAGTTTTGTAGTTTAATCTAAAATTTGTCTCATGACCCAAGATTCCAGAGTCCCAACTCTGGAGTTTGTTTTCCGTCTGTCTCTCTCCCTCCCTCATTTTAAATTTTACAGAAATATCCAGTAACATAATGCTATAGAAAATCAAGTTTCCCCAGCACGTTGGGAAGCCGAGGTGGGCGGATCAACTGAGATAAGGAGTTTGAGAGCAGCCTGGCCAATATAGTGAAACCGTGTCTCTGCTAAAAATCCAAAAATTAGCCGTGCCTGGTGGCAGGCACCTGTAACGCCAGCTACTCAAGAGGCTGAGGCATGAGAATCGCTTGAACCTGGGAGGCAGAAGTTGCAGTGAGCTGAGATTGTGTCACTGCAGTCCAGCCTGGGCGACAGAGCAAGACTCCGCCTCAAGAAAAAAAAGCAAATAGCCTATAATAACAAATTAGAGAGCTCTGGCTACTAAATTTAAAGGGTTCTATAAGGCTACATAAAGTGCAGCATCATCAAGAGTGTGGACACAGAGAGCCCCTTAGCAGAAACAGTGTCTAAAGTACATCCGTGTACACACAGTCCCTTTAGAGTTGACAAAGGCTGCCGTGTGGTTTAAGGTGGCATAGAATGTCTTCTCAATAAATAATATTAAACCAATGGGTTATACCTAGGAAAAAATAAATCTAACTCACACTATAAAAACACTTCTTAGTTTTTATCTAGTTGTACATTTTTTATGATTTATATTTAAATTTGAGAAATAAAAGTCATATACGGTCATCCTTCACTATTCGTGGGTGATTGGTTTCGAGATCTCCACTCAGATACCAAAATCTGTAGATGCTCAAGCCTCTTATATGAAATGGCACAGAGTTTGCAAATAACCTATGCACATCCTCCTGTATACATGAAATCATCTCTAGAT
This sequence comes from Homo sapiens, assembly GCF_000001405.40. Lineage (NCBI taxonomy): Eukaryota > Metazoa > Chordata > Mammalia > Primates > Hominidae > Homo > Homo sapiens. The sequence continues at coordinate 100,715 of NT_187643.1, forward strand.
TACTTATAATTCCTGATGCAGCCTACACACAGCTTCATTTGTGTCCATTCAACACAGTTCTGCTTTTTGTAACTCTGTGGATACTTTCTCTGAATATTTTTGATTTATACTCGGTTCAATAAAGAACTGTAAACCCCACAGATATGGAGGAGTGACTGTATATTTATAGTGTGAAAGATGATGTGTTGATATGTGTCCCTGTGTAGATGAGACTAACAAGGCCTATGATTCTACAAATGTTTCATCTTGGAATGACTCTGCCAGATTTCCAGGTCTGCAGAGAGTAAGAATATCACTTGTTCATGTGATTCCCGATCCTTGGAACCTCCTATGTGCTACATCTTTGGATGGAAATAGGAGTCCCAGAGACAAATGAGGCTCCACCCTGCTTCCAGAAACTCAGAGTCCGGGGGTGAGAACCCAGTGGAGAACAGATGGGGTTATGTGGACATGGTAATGATAATGGAAGTCTTAGGCAAGAAAAGAGTCCCATTACCGAAACCATGAGGGCAGACATGTTTATTTGAAGGAGGGAAAACTACATTGAAATTATTTTAAAAAATATATAAGTTTTACTGCTGACAGAAGGCTGAAAGATACTCTGAGGGGAGGTGGAACAGCATGAGGGAAGGTGGAACAGGACGTGTCTAAGTGCCGTGTTAAGAGGGAGCCTCTTGTATGTTTGGAACTGTGAGTTCCTCAGTGTGATTGCAGCCTCAAGTAGACTAGGAAGTAAGCCAGTAAGGTTGGAGAGGTGGGCAGGGGTCAAGTGAAATGGAGAATTGTGGGCTAAGCAAAGGAGTGTGTTTTCTCTCCAGCAGGCAGTGGGGACCTTAGACATTTGTAAGCAAGAGAGAGGCACATTCAGATTTGTGGTGTGAGGAAGAGCGATGCCCTAAGATGCAGACTCACGCCTTCAGAGTCCAGCTGCTGGTACATGGGAGCTGGCAACCCGGTTTTGAGACAGGGCTGTTGTCTCCCTAGAAGATCCCCTCAAGGCCTGACTGTGGTGCTCATGGGCAGGAGACAACTTTGGATCTGGACTCAGCATTTGGAAGTTCCGTGTACACTCTGGTATCTGTTGGGGGTGTCTTGGGCCTCTGAGAAGGGCGAGTGATTTTTCTCTGTGTGAAAACGCAGTGATCCAACTGTACGTATGTCACCTCCTGAGGGTCTTGTTCATCAGAGTCCTGGAGAGAGGGAAATCCTGAGTGAGGGAGGGTGCTCACGTTTTCCAGGACTGTTTGGGAATAACACTAGCCACGAGGCTGGGCCGAGGAGCACCTACCTCGCTATTCGCTGTTCTGTTCCCTGCAGGCTCTTGGTCCATTACAGCAGCATGTGTAGGAGACGGAAGTCAACAAAAGAGCTCGGAGGGCACTTCTGGGTCCTCATTTCATAAGCAGATACCAACAAACAGGGGGAGGCCATAGGTGCCTGAGGTCCCTCAGTTGCCAACAGCAGACTCAGACATTCTATCTCTCTGAGCTCAAGGACCCATCCCATGAATAGCTCTGAGTTCCCATCCCATTGATTCTGTCTCCCACTTTCTGCCTGTCATGGAACCTTCTCCTGGATGTGAGTGGCTGCAGGGGACATGAGGATACAGTTCAGAATCAGGCAACGGTCTGTGAGCTGAAAGCAGGGACAGGGAGTCTGGTGCCCTCTCTAGAAAGTCCTGCCTCTGTGGCTGCTGCCTTGGGCCAGGGACCATCCTACCTGTGAGGAACACACACCTGAGTGCTCCCATCCTGCTTCCCCACATGGCCCTGAGCTCTCTGGCCTCTCCTTCGTGAGACTTACTTTTCTTGTTGGAGCACCAGCGATGAAGGAGAAAGAAGAGGAGGAGGATGAAGAGGATGATGACCACTGAGGTCCCAATCAGAACGTGCAGGTGTCTTGGGTTACCTGGAAGAAGATGAGACACCAATAAGAAGCTAATCATAGCAGTTCCTCTTTATGAATTGTCTCGCATTTCTTGATTGACAGGTAACCACGTAAAACACCTCTTTAGGACAAGCACCCAGATGGCGGGAGACCCAGCTTTCTCCTGCTTTCTCAGTTATAGCTCTCAAAGTAACCATAGAATGTGCTGAGGACACAACTACTTTAGTTGAGATGTTTGACCCCTTCAAACCTCACATTGAAATTTCACCCCCACTGTGGGAGGTTGGGCCTCTTGAGAGGTGTTTGGGTCATGGAGGTGGATCCATCATGAACAGATCAATGCTGTCCCAAGGAGACGGGGTTAGCTAGTTCCCCCTCTATTAGTTCCTGGAGAGCTGGTTGTTCAAAAGAACTTGGAAGCTCCATCGCTCCCCCTCCCCCTTGCTCCCTCTCTTGCCGTGTGATCTCTGTGGTCTCTGCACAGACAGACCCTCCTTCCCTTCTGCCAGAGTGGGAGCAGCCTGAGGCCATCACGAGAAATAGATGCTGGTGCCATGCTTCCAGTACAGCCTGCAGAACGGTGAGGCAAACCAATCTCTTTTCTTTAGAAGTTGCCCAGGCTCAAGTGTTCCTTTAGAGCAACAAAAATGGACTAAGACAGCAACGTCCTGAGATCAGGAGGAACGTCCCAGAGCAGCCTGGGCTGTCTTCCTGTTCTTCCTGGAGGAGGACGTCATGCAGTGCTTTAGCTGAGTGCTTCCTGTGGCTCCAGGGTACAAAACCCAGGCTGGGCTGCTTTCTGGCTTCCCCCAGCTACACTGCAAATGGGGTGACTCCATATGTCCCGAGCAGCTTTTCTGAGCCTTGAGGGACTGGCTCACATTGAAATGTAGGCTTCTGTTTTCACTCGCTGCTTATCTGTTAGTAATGAACCTGCCTATGTAACGTATTCTCTGTGTGTTCTGTCTCCCTGGAGTGACGGTGAGTGATAGGAATTGGCGTAGGCCCAGGTGCAGTCTAGGAGGTGTTTAGGGTCTTTTCTGGGAAGACTGCACTGGGATTGACACACAGCGAATGTGCTTTAGGATTTCTACATCCACAGCATTCTTGAGTCAAACAACTTGCGTTCTCCAAGGAAAGGAAACAAAAGTGAAATCAAGATAAAAAAGCGAAATAGAGTTATCTTATGTCCAACAGCCAGGAAATCGTGTTGAAGCCCCTGTGAAACGTCCTACTCTTTGTGATCTCGGGAGACACATGTTAGGCTGCTGTTCTACCTGAGAGGCTGGGGGAAGGACCACCCCCTCCACCATCTATTGCTTCAATACCACCTGTCCTCCTGTGAATTAGTAGGAAAGGGGAGCAGGAGCTAGTGCTGGTGCTGATCTCTCATTCCAAGATCTGGACTCACTCCAAGGAGTATTAATGTTTACCTCCCCATGGTCTATCTGAATCTCCACAGGTGATTGGAAGTAGGGGTGAAGTGGGGGATTTGAGTGAGAGGGCAAGTTTTTTTTGTGATGAACAGAGCACTTTCTCTATTCCACGATCTGTGCTGGAGGATTCAGCGGGCTTTCACATTTTCTATATGGTCTCATGCTCACAGAAAGCCAAATACGGAAGAGGTTTTAGGCTCATTGCCTAATGGATAAGACAAAGGATCAAAGAAGTAATTATAGAGAAATACAAAAATGATGATTGGAATTCAGGTGCCTTTGTCATTCGTGTGTGTTTTATTATATTTATGCATTTCTTATTTTTATTTTTTGAGACGGAGTCTCCTTGTGTCACCCAGGCTGGAGTGCAGTGATGCAATCTCCACTCACTGCAACCTCCACCTCCTGGGTTGAAGTCGTTCTCCTGCTTCATCCTCAAGAGTAGGAGCTGGGATTACAGGGATGCACCACCATGCTCGGCTAATTTTTGTATTTTTCATAGAGACAGGGTTTCACCATTTTGGCCAGGCTGGTCTGGAACTCCTGACTTCAAGTGATCCACCCGCCTTGGCCTCCTGCAGTGCTGGGAATTGCCTTTTCCACGGCCTGAGCATGGGGCCGTGGCTGAATGAGTCAGTGAGTCGAAGTGTGCGTGCATGAGCTCCGTTCTCTGTTAAGGCAAAGCTCTTGCTCTGCTGAGTCAGCCAGGGTTGCTTCATGACCAACAGTAATTCATTCCTGGGCAAGTGGAACTTCTCTAAAACACCTCGCCCTCATCAAATGTTCCCTACCCTTCCCTCTCTCAAGCCCCCAGGAATTTATCCTCCAGTTAGGAATGCAGGCAGAACAAACATTGCATTTTTCCTGAGAAGGATGTCAGATTGCCAATCATTTTTCTAGCTTGTAGGAGATCTCAGCTCCATAAAATGAGAGATTAAGAGATTTCACAGAGCCCTGTTTTGGGTCCAGATCCCTTTCGCTGTTGGAGTATCTGGAGTTTGGAGATGGTAGAAGACAGGCGTACAATGTCAGAGCTGTGAGATGCTGAGTCAACGCCTGAATCCAAGGTTTCCACCTCCCCAGGTTTCCAAAAGCGGATATAAGAGGGTTCTGTACTCACCGGTTTTGGAGCTTGGTTCAGTGGGTGAAGGCCAACTATTTGAAGGGTTTCCTAGAACATGAGACAGGAGAGAGGTGAGGAAATGAGGGTGTCTGTCCTCTACTCAGTGGAAATCTTTGAGGTTGGTTCATGGCCAACACTCTGTTATCTAATATTGGGCCCTGGGAGTCCTGGGATCCTTTTTTCCGTAATTTTTGTATGTGACGGCTACTGTCTTGAGACTTCAAGGTATAAAGAGAAAACAGGAGCATCACACTACCTGATCTCAAAATATGTTACAGAGCTGTAGTAAGCAAGACAGCATGACGTTGGCATGAAGAAAGGCACATAGAACAACGGAGCAGAATGAATAACACAGATATAATCCATGCATTTACCTCCAATGTATTTTTTGTTTTTCTTTTGAGATGGAGTCTTGCTCTGTCACCCAGGCTGGAGTGCAGAGGTGCAATCTCGGTTCACTGCCACCACAGCCTCCTGGGTTCAATCACTTCTCTTGCCTCAAACTCCTGAGTAGTGGTATTACAGGTGCTGACCACCATGCTCAGCTAATTTTTATATTTTTAGTGGAGACGATGTTTCATCACGTTGGCCAGACTAATCTTGAACTCTTGGCCTCAGGTGATCCACCCACCTCGGGCTCCCAAAGTGCTGAAATTGCAGGTGTCAGCCACCATGCCCAGCCCATCCAATGGACTTTGACAAAGGTGCCAAGAACTCACAATCAGGAAAGGACAGTCTTTTCAATAAACAGTGCAGGGAAACCTGGACATCGACATGCAGAGGAATGAAACTGCACCTCTGCCTGTCACTATACACAAAAATCAAATGAAAATGGATTAAAGATGTGAGTCTAAGGCCTGAACCTATGAAACACGTAGAAGAAAATATTGGGGAAATGCTCCAGGACGTTTGTCTGAAGGAAGACATTTTGTTTTAAACCTTCAAAACACAAGTAATCGAAGCAAAAATAGACCATTGGGATTACCTCAAACTAAGCAACTTCTGCACCGCTAAAAATAAACCAACAAAGTGAAGAGACAACCCACAGATTGGGAGCAAATATGTGCAAACTATGCATCTGAGATGGGATTAATAACTAGAAATATAAGAAGCTCAAACAACTCAATAAAACAAATGATTTAATTGAAACAGGAGCAAAAGACATGAAATTTCCCCACATACGAAAAAGTGCTCAGTATCACTCATCATCAGAGAAACACAAATTAAAATCAAAGTGAGTTTTCATCTCACCCCATTAAAATGGCTTTTAGGCCGGGCGTGGTGGCTCACGTCTGTCATCCTAGAACTTTGAGAGCCTGAGGTGGGTGAATCTCATAAGGTCGGGAGTTTGAGACCAGTCTGACCCACATGGAGAAACACTGTCTCTACTAAAAATACAAAAATTAGTCGGGCGTGGTGGCGTGTGCCTGTAATTCCAGCTACTCGGGAGGCTGAGGCAGGAGAATCGCTTGAACCTGGGAGGTGGAGGTTGTGGTGAGCCGAGATCGCACCACTGCACTCAGCCTGGGTGACAAGAGCGAAACTCCATCTCAAAATAAAATGAAATAAAATAAAATGGCTTTTAGCTGCAAGACAGGCAAAAGAAATGCTGGCAAGGTGTTAGAGAAAGGAGAATCCTGGTATCCTGTTGGTAGGAGTGTAAATTAGTACAGCCATTACGGAGAAAAGTGTGGAAGTCCTTTAAAGAACTAAAAAGAGGTTGGGTGAGGTGGATCATGCCTGTAATCCCGGCACTTTGGGAGACCGAGGCGGGCACCTCAGTTGAGGTCATGAGTTTGAGAGCAGCCCAGCCAACATGGGGAAACCGCATCTATACTAAAAAAAACAAAAAGTAGCCAGGCATGGTGGCGTGCGCCTATAATCCCTGATACTAGGGAGGCTGAGGCAGGAAAATCATTTGAACCCAGGAGGCAGAGGTTGCAATGAGCCAAGATGACATCACTTGTACTCCAGCCTGGGCACAGAGGGAAACTGTCTCAAAAACAAAAACAAAACAACAAACGAAAAACTAAAAAGAGAACTTTCATAGTATCCAGCAATTTCACTACTGGGTTTATATCCAAAGGAAAGTAAATCAATATATCGAAGTGATATCTGCACTCGTATGATTGGTGCAGCACTCTTCACAGTAGCCAAGATGAGGAGTCAACCTACCTGCCCATCAGTGGGTGAATGGATAGAGAGAATGTGGTACATTTGCATAGTGGAGACTACTCTTCCATAGAAAGAAAAACATCCTGATATTTGCAGCCACATGGATGGAACTGGAGGTCATTACAAAGATTCCCATTTCTTACCCATATACAGGAGCTAAAAGGTGGATCTCATGAAGGTAGAGAGTAGAATGGTGGCTACCAGAGGCCAGGAAGAAAAGGGTGGAGGGTAAAAAAAAATATGTGTATATATATATATATTAATGTATTTATGACCACTAGACTTTACACTTAAAAATGGTAAATGTGGCTGGGCGTGGTGGCTCATGCCTGTAATCCCAGCACTTTGGGAGGCTGATGCGGGTGGATCACGTGGTCAGGAGTTCGAGACCAGCTTGACCAACATGGTGAAACCCCCTCTCTACTAAAAATACAAAAAGTAGCCTGGCATGGTGGTGCGCGCCTGTAGCACCAGCTACTCAGGTGGCTGAGGCAAGAGAATCGCTTGAACCCAGGAGGCGGAAGTTGCAGTGAGCTGAGATTGTGCCAATGCACTCCAGCATAGGGGACAGAGCTAGACTCCGCCTCAAAAAAAAAATGTTAAAGGTGGTAAGCTATATAGGTATATTTATCCTCAATAAATATTTCTCAAACAAAAGTAAAGGGTGTAGGGGTTGCAGGTGATGACATCCCTGTGTGGGTGGGAGGCCAGGATGGGCTTCTGGGAAATGGGTAATGTTGAGGGGCTGAGGGAACCTCTGATCTTCCCAAACTGAGCCCAGTCTCCCTCCTCTGGGTCTCTCCTGACCGCTTTCTCCATCTGCCTGGGTGCCTGGAGTCCTGGCCGCAGGCCTTCATGCAGGCCATGTAGGAGGGTTTGGAGGTGCCCTGTCTGCCATCCTGTGCCCTGATCCCTCCCTCACACCCAAGCTTCGTCTTCTCTCTGCATCTGTTCATCCTTCTCTCCATCCTCAGCAGGAAGCTCCTCAGCTAAGGCTCTAGGATCATAGGACATGGGACAGCCATGGGCTTTCCTCACCTGTGACAGAAACAAGCAGTGGGTCACTCGAGTTTGACCACTCGTAGGGAGAGTCACGGAAAGAGCCGAAGCATCTGTAGGTTCCTCCGTGGGTGGCAGGGCCCAGAGGAAAGTCAGCCTGGAATGTTCCGTTGACCTTGGGCCCTGCAGAAAACCTACGTTCATGGGCCTCCCCCTCCCTGGATAGATGGTACATGTCATAGGAGCTCCGGGAGCTGCAGGACAAGGTCACGCTCTCTCCTGCCAGAACCGTGGGGCCCGGCTGGGCTGAGAGAGAAGGTTTCTCATATAGACCTGGAAGGAGAAGAGGCATTTTCCTTACGGAGGATCTTCCTTGTCACAGCTCCCTTCACCTGAGCTGAGAACTCACTCCCCTGCTCTATGACCTAATGCTCTCTCTCTCTCTCTCTCTCACCCTCCACCCCATCTCTCTTCATGTCTATTTCCTCCTTCCACCTTCTCTGTCTCTCTAGGTCTCTGACCTCGCTTCCACACCTCTAGATATGTTTTCCCTTTTTGGATTGTTTTATTCTCTCTGACTCTCCTTGGATTGGTTGACTTGATGTTACTTTTTTAAATTCTAAGTTTCTCACTTTGTGTCCTGTTCATAACTTTCTGCATATTTCTATCTATTATCTATCGATCTATCTATTTATCTATTCGGTGCCTATCTACAAATTCTCTACCTGTCATCTATATCTATATATCATCTATGTATCTATCACTTGTCTATCTATCCATCAATCATCTGTTATCTATATCTATGTATCATCTCTCTCTCTATGACTTCTGTCTGCCTCTCTATCTCTATGTATTATCTATCTGTCTTCATCATCATCATCTCTATGTCTCATCTATTAATGAATCAATCAATCATCATCTATGTATCTTTAACCTATTATCTATCATCTACCTATTTATCATCTATCTATATCTATCCATCTATCATCTGTCTTGCTCTGCCTCTCGGTCTCTCTAGTTCTCTTTGGAATCTCTGCAATTCATCCCCACATCTCCATCTTTCTATGTCCTTGTGCCTCTCCCTCAGGAGTCTAATTTTAGTGCTTTTCTCTGCTCCCTTCCATCATTCTCACCACTCCTCTGCCCTCTTTTCTCTCTCTTTATGTGTCTGTGAGTCTCTCAATCTCCTTCCTCTGGCTCATTCTCTGTGTGTTTATGTCTTTGCTTTTTGGTGTCCCTGATTTCTCTCTGTGCCTCTCAGTGATCCTTTCATATGTGGGGTTATTTGGAATGTGAGCCTCAGAATCCAGTCTGGAGACCACAAGTTCACACAGCATACAGGAGTTGGTGTTCTGGGGCCATGATATCCTGGGACGGTTACTCTCCATTACATGGAAGGCAGAGGTGTCAGAATAAACACGGCATCTGTAGGTGCCACAAGGCCTGAGGCCACAGGGCCCAACTCAGGTCAGAAATATGGGTGTCCTTGGGTTCTCCTGGTAGAGAACACTTTGTGGAGGTAAAACAGAAATGAAACTTCTAACCTGTGCCAGGTCTCTGAGCAAAGTCAGCATGGAGGGACACCTCTCTCTGGGACATGTCTGTCTGTCTGTCTCCTTTAACTCCTTCTGTCTTTTCTAACTCCCGGTATGGCCCCTGTGTCTGTCCTCTGTTATGACACCTGGTCTGTACTTGTGTCTCCTGTTTCTCTGTCTCTGTTGGTACAGACCTCACCAAGTCAGTCTCTCTCCATAAGAATACCAAGCTCATCTTCCTTACAACTACCTGGGGGTTCCAAGTCGTGGATCATTCACTCTGCATCCCAATGACAATGAGAAGAATGTCCGGACACTCTCACCTGTGATGACGATGTCCAGAGGGTCACTGGGAGCTGACAACTGATGGGGGAGTGAGTAACAGAACCGTAGCATCTGTAGGTCCCTGCCAGGTCTTCCATCATGGGACCGATGGAGAAGTTGGCCTTGGAAACCCCATCATGGTGCTCTCCAGTGAGGTGCAAAGTGTCGTTAAACTTCCCTTCTCTGTGCAGAAGGAAGTGCTGAAACCTGACATCTGACCAACATTGCAGGATGACTGTCTCTTCTGATTTCACCAGGGGACCTGGGTGGGCCAGGAGGGAAGGTTTTCTGTGGACTCCTAGGAAGAGAGGTTGTGAGTTTAGAAGGTGTCTCTCTTTATCATCCCATCCATGGCACCTAGAATGAGTGAGGCTTCCCCTTGCTGGTGTCTGTCTCTCTCCTTCCTCTCTGTGTCTTCATGTTCTTTTCTGTGCCCATAACTCCTGGTGCAGGTCCTTCCATCTGTCTCCCTCCCTCTTCTCTGTCCCTCTGTCTCTAGTCGCCTCTGATTCCCTTCCCACTGGGCTTAGCCTCATCTCTTGGGGTGTTGTATCTATTTCACACTAATGTCTTTCCTGCTGTTTATGTGGGGGTGAAAGAGGAACCAGGATAGGCTGCACATCCAGCCTCTTATCAGCCTGGTTCAATCTCTTTTGGATGAATTGGAATCCTTGGCAGTAGGTATGAACTGATGAATAAGGCAGGCACCAGTGTCCACACACCCTGTTCCTGGTCGGGACTGGGAGCCACTCTTGCCATGCCTGTGCCTTCTCCATGGTGCCAGCTTCCATAGGCTGGCTCCTGGTGCTGGTTTGAGGAGTATCAACCCCTCCCTATGTGGATGGAGCCTGGTGGTGGCATCATCATCCCACACTTGCTCATCTCGGTGTAGCCAACCTTCCCCTTGTTTGGTTCCTTTAATTAATTAATTAATTATGGAGACAGAGTCTCACTCCTTCACCCCAGCTGGAGTGAAGTGGTGTGGTCTAGGGTCACTGCAACCTCTGTCTCCTGGGTTCAAGTGATTCTCCTGCCCTCAGCCTCCCAAGTCGCTAGGATTACATGCGCCTGCCACCACACCCGGCTATCCTTGTGTTGTTTCTTACCTTGTCCTTGACCTGGGTTCCAGTGTTGGTTTCCTGTTGCTGCTGTAGAAAATTATCAGAAGCATGGCAGCAGGAGAGAGCACACTGACCCATTTCACTACTGGAGACAGAAATAGGACCCTGTTTTTCCTGGGCTAAAATCAAGGCATCTGCAGGGCTTCGTTCCCTCTGGAGACTCTGGAGAATCATTTCCTTGACTTTTCCAACCTCTACAGGCCACCTGCATTCATGGCTCCTGGCCTTCCTCCACCTTCAAAGCTGGTGGAGTCTCCCATTGCGCTGCTCTAATCCCCACTCCCCTCTTCCTCCTCCTTTCATGTGGACCCTTGTGATTACACTGAGCCCAGCGGGACAGTCCAGGCTGTCTCCCCATCTCAAGGTCAACTCATCAACAACCTGAGCTCCATCTTCCCCTTCAGTTCCTTCCCCTATAACATAAATAGTCACAGACTCCAGGGATTAGAATGTAGTCATCACTGGGGACAATTATTCTTCCCACCACAGCACCCATTTCCCTGTATTCAATCCCCCTTTACCCCAAATATAGTCAGGGCCTGGGTGATGGGACCCTCAAGGACACGCCCACCAGAAGCTCTGGGATTCAGGAGGTGGGAAAGGAGAATCCAAGACAGGAGCCCTCTGACCTGTGGCCATGATCACCAGGGTGTTGCTGGGTGCCGACCACCCACTGGGGTAGTGTGGGTGTGAACCCCGACATCTGTACGTCCCTGTGTGTGCTGGGGTCACAGGGCCCATGAAAAGGCTGTTCCAGAATATTCTGTTGTAGAGCTCAGTGCCAGGCACCCCATCTTCCTTTTACAGACTGAAGTTGTTAAACCCAAGATAAGAATGACACCGAAGAATCACATGTCCTGGAGGCACCACAGAGCTGGGCCAGGCAGACAGCAAGGGCTTGTCCTGACCACCTTGGGGAGAAGGAGGCACCGCCTTAGAGAGGAGGATGTGGAGCCACCCCTCCCTCCCTGTGCTCTGAAGATTCTCCTCGCTTTCCAAGTTTCTATGGCTGCTATCACACCTTGGTGCCCAGGGCTAAAGGAAGGACCCATCCCGCAAACACAAGGTGTCTCCCTACAACAAAAGTGTCAGCTGAGAACTTTGAGCAAGTGCTGAGTAAGAGACTCCTACTAGATTTTAATACTGTAAGATTACTCACATAAAACAACACAGGGTAGACATGGGGTGGAGGGCATGTCTTTGAGAATGGAATATCAGCAGATGCCTGAATGAAAATAAGCAACTGAGCCCCCATCAGAGGATTTGGAATGTCAGGGCCATGGCTGTGGTTTCCCACCTCTTCTGGTGGAGTGACAGCAGCCACACTGCAGCCCCTACCGTCATGGAAACGCTGAAGTGTGAGTAACACCTTTGTCCTCAGAGGATCTGCTGTTCCTACCACTTCCCCACCACGCACCCCAGCTTTGAGCACCCCAGTCTAACCCTGGTCCCCACAGAACTTGACTCTGCCAAGGGAATGAAAGGCCAGGGAGGCGAGGTCGGAACTGTGGGCCGAGCACCCCAGGGTCCCCTCTTCCTAGTTTATGAGAGGCTCCCTGACAGGACTTCCCTCCTGTTTCAGGAAAATCCTCTTATGTGGGGAGATGACACCCTAAGGTTTGGAGAAGGACTCACCCTCATGTGGCCAGGCCCCCTGCAGCAAGAAGAACCCTGGAAAGAAAGATCATGATGGACGATCCATCTGCAGGCAAACCAGCCCTCCCTTGCTGCCCTCACTGGGCTGTGAGTCTTGGTAGGCAGGCCCTTCCTGGACTGAAGTTAAACTCACCCTCAGTGCCTACCTGCACCCAAGAACAGGGCTGTCGGCTGTGCAGAGACCCAGCCTCCAAGCCCAGATCCCCACCACAAGCCCATATCCCCACCACAAGCCCATATCTCCACTCCAGGCCAATATTTCCACCCTAGGCCTGTATCTCCACTCCAGGCCCATATCTCCACTCCAGGCCGATATTTCCATCATAGGCCCATATCGCCAATCCAGGCCCATATCGCCAATCCAGGCCAAGATCTCCACTGTAAGCCCATATCTCCAATCCAGGCCCATATCTCCACTCCAGGCTCAGATCTCCAACCTAGGCCCATATCTCCAATCCAGGCCCATATCTCCACACCAGGCCCATATCTCTACTGAAGGCCAGTAACTCCACCTCCAGGCCCATATCTCCACTCCAGGCCCAGATCTCCACCCCAAGCCCATATCTCCACCCCAGGCCCATATCTCTACTGAAGGCCCGTAACTCCACCTCCAGGCCCATATCTCCACCCCAGGCCCAGATCTCCACCCCAAGCCCATATCTCCACTCTAGGCCCATATCTCCTCTCCAGTCCCATATCTCCACAACCAGGCCCATATCTCCATCCTAGGCCCATATTTCCACTCTAGGCCCAGATATCCACCTCTAGGCCCATATCTCCACTCCTGGCCCAAATCTCCACTCCAGGCCCATATCTCTACTATAGGCCTATAACTCCACCTCCAGGCCCATATCTCCACTCCAGGCTCCTATCTCCCCTCCAGGTTCCTATCGGCACTCCAGGCCCAGATCTCCACTTCTAGGCCCATCACTCCATCTCTAGGCCCATATATCCACTCCAGGCCCAGATCTCCACTCCAGGCCCACAACTCCACCTCCAGGCCTATATCTCCACCTCTGGGCCCAGATCTCCAACCCCACACTCCCTTCCTCTATTCCCTTCCAGGACTCACCAACACACGCCATGCTGACGACCGTGAGCGACATGGTGCTGCCGGTGCAGACAGGCGGCCGTGCCCCAGCTCAGCTCAGCAGCGCACAGGATGTTATTTGGCGCCCTGCCCATGCAGTTTACATGTTGACCACATCATGGGAGGGTGACGTACGCAGGCTCATTCTACCTTGCATGAGGCCCAGTGGGTGCTCGCTCAAGAGCGGAACACGGCTTCCTGGAAATTGTTCTCACTAGAATTTACACCTAGCGTCCTTCACTATGACCAACTCAAAACACGTCTCAGATCCAACCTCCTGAACACGAGATGCCTAAAATCTGTGCTAACGTGAAAGACTTTTCATGTATTTTTATTGTTTTTATCTGAGATTCAAACTCTTCTTCATGTGTAATATGCAAAATATTTAATAGGTATTATTAAGGTTTTCAGAGTCATTGTGACTAATAAACCATTAGAATTTTTCATGCTTGTATTTCTAGTATTACAGCAGAACCAGTTAAAATGATTTAAATTCCCAGGGAAGGATTATGCAATTATTTACAATCTTAGAATTGTACTTTATCAGCAAAAACCACACCTGTAAATTCTGGAGTTTTGTAGTTTAATCTAAAATTTGTCTCATGACCCAAGATTCCAGAGTCCCAACTCTGGAGTTTGATCTCTCTCTGTCTCTCTGCCTCCCTCATTTTAAATTTTACAGAAATATCCAGTAACATAATGCTATAGAAAATCAAGTTTCCCCAGCACGTCGGGAAGCCGAGGTGGGCGGATCAACTGAGATGAGGGGATTGAGAGCAGCCTGGCCAACATAGTGAAACCGTGTCTCTGCTAAAAATCCAAAAATTAGCCATGCCTGGTGGCAGGCACCTGTAACGCCAGCTACTCAAGAGGCTGAGGCACGAGAATCGCTTGAACCTGGGAGGCGGAGGTTGCAGTGAGCTGAGATTGTGTCACTGCAGTCCAGCCTGGGCGACAGAGCAAGACTCCGCCTCAAGAAAAAAAAAAGCAAATAGCCTATAATAACAAATTAGAGGGCTCTGGCTACTAAATTTAAAGGGTTCTATAAGGCTACATAAAGTGTAGCATCATCAAGTGTGTGGACACAGACAGCCCCTTAGCAGAAACTGTCTAAAATACATCCATGTACACACAGTCCCTTTAGAGTTGACAAAGGCTGCCGTGTGGTTTAAGGTGGCATAGAATGTCTTCTCAATAAATAATATTAAACCAATGGGTTACACCTAGTAAAAAATAAATCTAACTCACACTATAAAAACACTTCTTAGTTTTTATCTAGTTGTACATTTTTTGATTTATATTTAAATTTGAGAAATAAAAGTCATATACGGTCATCCTTCACTATTCGTGGGTGATTGGTTTCGAGATCTCCACTCAGATACCAAAATCTGTAGATGCTCAAGCCTCTTATATGAAATGGCACAGCGCTTGCAAATAACATATGCACATCCTCCTGTATACATGAAATCATCTCTTGATTACTTATAATTCCTGATACAGCCTACACACAGCTTCATTTGTGTCCATTCAACATAGTTATGAGTTTTGGAACTCTGTGGATATTTTCTCTGAATATTTTTGATTTATACTTTGTTCAATAAAGACCTGTAAACCCCACAGATACGGAGGAGTGACCGTATATTTATAGTATGAAAGATGATGTGTTGATATGTGTCCCCATGGAGATGAGACTAACAAGGCCTATGACTCTACAAATGTTTCATCGTGGAATGACTCTGCCAGCTTTCCAGGTCTGCAGAGAGTAACAATGTCACTTGTTCATGTGATTCCCGATCCTTGGAACCTCCTAT
This sequence comes from Homo sapiens, assembly GCF_000001405.40. Lineage (NCBI taxonomy): Eukaryota > Metazoa > Chordata > Mammalia > Primates > Hominidae > Homo > Homo sapiens. The sequence continues at coordinate 115,872 of NT_187643.1, forward strand.
GTGCTGCATCTTTGGATGGAAATTGGAGTCCCAGAGACAAATGAGGCTCCACACTGCTTCCAGAAGCTCAGAGTCCAGAGGTGAGAACCCGGTGGAGAACAGATGGGATTATATGGACATGGTACTGATAACACCGGAAGCCTTAGGCAAGAAAAGAGTCCCATTACCTAAACCATGAGGGCAGACATGTTTATTTGAAGGAGGGAAAACTACATTGAAATTATTTTAAAAAATATATAAGTTTTACTGCTGACAGAAGGCTGAAAGATACTCTGAGGGGAGGTGGAACAGCATGAGGGAAGGTGGAACAGCACGTGTCTAAGTGCCGTGTTAAGAGGGAGCCTCTTGTATGTTTGGAATTGTGAGTTCCTCAGTGTGATTGCAGCCTCAAGTAGACTAGGAAGTAAGCCAGTTAGGTTGGAGAGGTGGGCAGGGGTCAAGTGAAATGGAGAATTGTGGGCTAAGCAAAGGAGTGTGTTTTCTCTCCAGCAGGCAGTGGGGACCTTAGACATTTGTAAGCAAGGGAGAGGCACGTTCAGATTTGTGGTGTGAGGAAGAGCGATGCCCTAAGATGCAGACTCACGCCTTCAGATTCCAGCTGCTGGTACATTGGAGCTGGCAACCCAGTTTTGAGACAGGGCTGTTGTCTCCCTAGAAGATCCCCTCAAGGCCTGACTGTGGTGCTCATGGGCAGGAGACAACTTTGGATCAGGGCTCAGCATTTGGAAGTTCCGTGTACACGATGATATCTGTTGGGGGTGTCTTGGGCCTCTGAGAAGGGCGAGTGATTTTTCTCTGTGTGAAAACGCAGTGATTCAACTGTGCATATGTCACCTCCTGAGGGTCTTGTTCATCAGAGTCCTGGAGAGAGGGAAATGCTGAGTGAGGGAGGGTGCTCACATTTTCCAGGACTCTTTGGGAATAACACTAGCCACGAGGCTGGGCCGAGGAGCACCTACCTCCCTGTTCACTGTTCTGTTCCCTGCAGGCTCTTGGTCCATTACAACAGCATCTGTAGAAGACGGAAGTCAACAAAACAGCTCAGAGGGCACTTCTGGGCCCTCATTTCATAAGCAGATACCAACATACAGGGGGAGACCATAGGAGCCTGAGGTCCCTCAGTTGCCAACAGCAGACTCAGACATTCTATCTCTCTGAGCTCAAGGACCCATCCCATGAATAGCTCTGAGTTCCCATCCCATTGATTCTGTCTCCCACTTTCTGCCTGTCATGGAACCTTCTCCTGGATGTGAGTGGCTGCAGGGGACATGAGGATACAGTTCAGAATCAGGCAATGGTCTGTGAGCTGAAGGCAGGGACAGGGAGTCTGGTGCTCTCTCTAGAAAGTCCTCCCTCTGTGGCTGCTGCCTTGGGCCAGGGACCATCCTGTCTGTGAGGAACACACACCTGAGTGCTCCCATCCTGCTTCCCCACATGGCCCTGAGCTCTCTGGCCTCTGCTTCGTGAGACTTACTTTTTTTGTTGCAGCACCAGCGATGAAGGAGAAAGAAGAGGAGGAGGATGAAGAGGATGATGACCACTGAGGTCCCAATCAGAACATGCAGGTGTCTGGGGTTACCTGGAAGAAGAGGAGACACCAATAAGAAGCTAATCATAGCAGTTCCTCTTTATGAATTGTCTCACATTTCTTGATTGACAGGTAACCACATACAACACCCCTTTAGGACAAGCACCCAGATGGAGGGAGACCCAGCTTTCTCCTGCTTTCTCAGTTATAGCTCTCATAGTAACCATAGAACGTGTTGAGGATACAACTACTTTAGTTGAGATGTTTGACCCCTTCAAACCTCACATTGAAATTTCACCCCCACTGTGGGAGGTTGGGCCTCTTGAGAGGTGTTTGGGTCATGGAGGTGGATCCATCATGAACAGACCAATGCTGTCCCCAGGAGACGGGGTTAGCAAGTTCCCCTTCTATTAGTTCCTGGAGAGCTGGTTGTTCAAAAGAGCTTGGAAGCTCCATCGCTCCCCCTCCCCCTTGCTCCCTCTCTTGCCGTGTGATCTCTGTGGTCTCTGCACAGACAGACCCTCCTTCCCTTCTGCCAGAGTGGGAGCAGCCTGAGGCCGTCACGAGAAATAGATGCTGGTGCCACGCTTCCAGTACAGCCTGCAGAACTGTGAGGCAAACCAATCTCTTTTCTCTAGAAGTTACCCAGGCTCAAGTGTTCCTTTAGAGCAACAAAAATGGACTAAGACAGCAACGTCCTGAGATCAGGAGGAACGTCTCAGAACAGCCTGGGCTGTCTTCCTGTTCTTCCTGGAGGAGGACGTCATGCAGTGCTTTAGCTGAGTGCTTCCTGTGGCTCCACAGTACAAAACCCAGGCTGGGCTGCTCTCTGGCTTCCCCCAGCTACACTGCAAATGGGGTGACTCCATATGTCCCGAGTAGCTTTTCTGAGCCTTGAGGGACTGGCTCACATTGAAATGTAGGTTTCTGTTGTCACTCGCTGCTTATCTGTTAGTAATGAACCTGCCTGTGTAATGTATTCTCTGTGTGTTCTGTCTCCCTGGAGTGACGGTGAGTGATAGGAATTGGCATAAGCCCAGGTGCAGTCCAGGAGGTATTTAGAGTCTTCTCTGGGAAGACTGCACTGGGATTGATACACAGCGAATGTGCTTTAGGATTTCTACATCCACAGCATTCTTGAATCAAACAACTTGCATTCTCCAAGAAAAGGAAACAAAAGTGAAATCAAGATAAAAAAAGCTAAGTAGAATTCTCTTATGTCAAATGGCCAGGAAATAGTGTTGAAGCCCGTGTGAAACGTGCTACTCTTTGTGATCTCGGGAGACACATGTTAGGCTGCTGTTCTACCCGAGAGGCTGGGGGAAGGACCACCCCCTCGGCCATCTATTGCTTCAATACCACCTGTCCTCCTGTGAATTAGTAGGAAAGGGGAGCAGGAGCTAGTGCTGGCACTGATCTCTGATTCCAAGATCTGGACTCACTCCAAGGAGTATCAATGTTTACCTCCCCATAGCCTATCTGAATCTCCACAGGTGATTGGAAGTAGGGGTGAGGTGGGGGATTTGGGTGAGTGGGCAAGTTTTTTGTTGCGATGAACAGAGCACTTTCTCTATTCCACGATCTGTGCTGGAGGATTCTGAGGGCTTTCACATTTTCTATGTGATCTCATTCTCACAGAAAGCCAAATAGGGAAGAGGTTTTAAGCTCATTGCCTAATGGATAAGATAAAGGATCAAAGAAGTAATTATAGAGAAATAGAAAAACGATGATTGGAATTCAGGTGCCTTTGTCATTCGTGTGTGTTTTATTATATTTATGTATTTCTTATTTTTATTTTTTGAGATAGAGTCTCCTTGTGTCCCCCAGGCTGGAGTGCAGTGATGCAATCTCCACTCACTGCAACCTCCACCTACTGGGTTGAAGTCATTCTCCTGCTTCATCCTCCAGAATAGGAGCTGGGATTACAGGGATGCACCATCGTGCTCGGCTAATTTTTGTATTTTTAGTAGAGATAGGGTTTCACCACGTTGGCCAGGCTGGTCTGGAACTCCTGACTTCATGGAATCCACCCACCTTGGCCTCCTGCAGTGCTAGGTTACAGGCGTGAGCCACTGTTCACAGACTTGTATATTATGCTATAATAAGTCTCTTCATTTCCACCACCACTCATATATCTGTCACTCCTTTGCCAGGTATTGATTTATGTGTAGGATGAATAAATCTCAGAAAGAAATTAATTAAGCGAGGATTAAACAAGTAGGAAAATCAAACCCAGTAAGCGTTTCCAGTCAATGATTCTACCTCACAAACATATCTTATATCCATCTACTTCATTCATTTAGTGTCTAAATCAGCACCACATTTCACCAGTGGGGTGGCAATTGCCTTTTCCACGGTCTCCTAGATTCCAGTTATGCAACTGAGCCTCCCTTATTTTCATGTCAGTCATATTAATCATGTAGGGATTCCTGGTTACCCCGAGGTGAATCCAATGGCTGTGAGTGTCAAACACACACTCCTTGTTGCTCCTTAGTTTCCTGTGTACCCAGTGTGCTCTCCGTCTCTCTACAGTCGTCTTGTCATTCTCCCCACATCATTCCCAGCATTTGAGGCAGAGCCTCTTCCTTCCACATCAGATTGTTTTCACCTTTGTGCCTTCACGGCTGACAGCTGTGTGTGCAAAATCCTTCCGCCAATCTTTCAGGGGTTCAATCCGTGTTTTTCATTAATGTCACAAATATCTGAATAGTGAGACCTTCTTTGTCACCTGAAATCATACACTCAGCATTATCTATTATTGATTTTGAATTCTGGCTGGGCACAGTGGCTCACGCCTGTAGTCCCATTACTTTGGCATGCTGAGACGGTCGGATCACTTGAGGTTGGGAGTTTCAGACAAGCTTGGCCAACGTGGTGAAACATCCTCTCTACAAAAAATATACAAAAAGAATTAGCCGGGCACGGTGGCAGTTGCCTGTAATCCCAGCTACTCGAGAGGCGGAGGCAGGAGAATCACTTGAATCCAGGAGACGCAGGTTGCAGTGAGCCAAGATCGTGACACTGCACTGTAGCCTGGAAGACAGAGGGCGACTCTGTCTCAATAAACAAAAGAACAAACAAAAAATAGATTTCATGCACAGATGCTTCCCAATGGATCATTCATTTATAGATCCACTTGTGCATTCATTTTCTGCCCTCCCATTTAACCATCTGCAATATCAGTGTCCCAAGGGCAGAAGCCAAATGCATCTTGTTCACCGTTTGTGGAAGGCAGGAGAATGCTGTCCCACCCCAAAATGTCCCTGTCCTAGCCTCCATAGCTTGTGAATATGTTATTTTACATGGAAAGGAGGAATGAAGATTGTAGATGGAATTGCGGTTGCTAATCAGCTGAACTTAAAACAAGGGTATCCTGGATGATTTCCAGGAGATTATGAGGGATTTTCATCTTGGTGAACCCAATAGAATCCCCAAGTTTTCAAAAGATAAGGAAGAAGGGAGAGCAGCATTCAGAGAAAGAGGTGTGGTAAGGAAGAAGGCACTGAGTGATGCCATGTGAGATGTGACCAGTCTTTGTGGGCTTTGAGGAAGGAGGAAGGGGAACAGGAGCCAAGGAACTGGGAGCCTTTAGAAGCTGGGATAAGTGAGAAGCAGATTCTTGCCTGGAATCCTCAGAGGGAAGGCAGCCTTGCTGTCACCTTGATTTTAGCCCAGTAAGATGCACTTCCTACTTTGAGCTACAGCACTGTAAGATAATTAAAAAACCGTTTTGTTTTCACCCACGAATCTTGTGGAAATTTGTTATGGCAACAATAGGAAAAGGTTCCGCACTGCACAGCCTGAGCATGGGGCCGTGGCTGAATGAGTCAGTGAGTCGAAGTGTGCGTGCATGAGCTCCGTTCTCTGTTACGGCAAGGCTGTTGCTCTGCTGAGTCAGCCAGGGTTGCTTCATGACCAACAGTAATTCATTCCTTGGCAAGTGGAACTTCTCTAAAACACCTCGCCCTCATCAGATGTTCCCTTCCCTTCCCTCTCTCAAGCCCCCAGGAATTTATCCTCCAGTTAGGAATGCAGGCAGAACAAACATTGCATTTTTCCTGAGAAGGATGTCAGATTGGCAATCATTCTTCTAGCTTGTAGGAGGTCTCAGCTCCATAAAATGAGAGATTAAGAGATTTCACTGAGCCCTAGGTTGGGCCCAGATCCCTTTCGCTGTTGGAGTATCTGGAGTTCGGAGATGGTAGAAGACAGGCGTACAATGTCAGAGCTGCGAGATGCTGAGTCAATGCCTGCATCGAAGGTTTCTACCTCCCCAGGTTTCCAAAAGCGGATATAAGAGGGTTCTGTACTCACCGGTTTCGGAGCTTGGTTCAGTGGGTGAAGGCCAACTATTTGAAGGGTTTCCTAGAACACGAGACAGGAGAGAGGTGAGGAAATGAGGGTGTCTGTCCTCTACTCAATGGAAATCTTTGAGGTTGGTTCATGGCCAACACTCTGTTATCTAATATTGGGCCCTGGGAGTCCTGGGATCCTTTTTTCCGTAATTTTTGTATGTGACGCCCACTGTCTTGAGACTTCAAGGTATAAAGAGAAAACAGGAGCATCACACTACCTGATCTCAAAATATGTTACAGAGCTGTAGTAAGCAAAACAGCATCACATTGGCATAAAGAAAGGCACGTAGAACAATGGAGCAGAATGAAGAACACAGATATAATCCATGCATTTACCTCCAATGTTTTTTTCTTTTTTCTTTTGAGATGGAGTCTCGCTCTGTCACCCAGGCTGGAGTGCAGAGGTGCAATCTCGGTTCACTGCCACCACAGCCTCCTGGGTTCAATCAATTCTCTGGCCTCAAACTCCTGAGTAGTGGTATTACAGGTGCTGACCACCATGCTCAGCTAATTTTTATATTTTTAGTGGAGACAATGTTTCATCACGTCGGCCAGACTAATCTTGAACTCCTGGCCTCAGGTGATCCACCCGCCTTGGGCTCCCAAAGTGCTGAAATTGCAGGTGTCAGCCACCATGCCCAGCCCATCCAATGGACTTTGACAAAGGTGCCAAGAACTCACAATCAGGAAAGGACAGTCTTTTCAATAAACAGTGCAGGGAAACCTGGACATCTACATGCAGAGGAATGAAACTGCACCTCTACCTGTCACTATACACAAAACTCAAATGAAAATGGATTAAAGATGTGAGTCTAAGGCCTGAACCTATGAAACACGTAGAAGAAAATATTGGGGAAATGCTCCAGGACATTTGTCTGAAGGAAGACATTTTGTTTTAAACCTTCAAAACACAAGTAATCGAAGCAAAAATAGACCATTGGGATTACCTCAAACTAAGCAACTTCTGCACCGCTAAAAATAAACCAACAAAGTGAAGAGACAACCCACAGATTGGGAGCAAATATGTGCAAACTATGCATCTGAGATGGGATTAATAACTAGAAATATAAGAAGCTCAAACAACTCAATAAAACAAACGATTTAATTGAAAAAGGAGCAAAACACATGAAATTTCCCCACATACTAAAAAGTGCTCAGTTTCACTCATCATCAGAGAAACACAAATTAAAATCAAAGTGAGTTTTCATCTCACCCCATTAAAATGGATTTTAGGCCGGGCGTGGTGGCTCACGTCTGTCATCCTAGACCTTTGAGAGCCTGAGGTGGGTGAACCTCATAAGGTCGGGAGTTTGAGACCAGTCTGACCCACATGAAGAAACACTGTCTCTACTAAAAATACAAAATTTAGTTGGGCGTGGTGGCGTGTGCCTGTAATTCCAGCTACTCGGGAGGCTGAGGCAGGAGAATCGCTTGAACCTGGGAGGTGGAGGTTGTGGTGAGCCGAGATCGCACCACTGCACTCCAGCCTGGGTGACAAGAGCGAAACTCCATCTCAAAATAAAATGAAATAAAATAAAATGGCTTTTAGCTGCAAGACAGGCAAAGGAAATCCTGCCAAAGTGGTAGAGAAAGGAGAACCCTAATACCCTGTTGGTAGGAGTGTAAATTAGTACAGCCTTTACGGAGAAAAGTGTGGAAGTCCTTTAAAGAACTAAAAAGAGGTTGGGTGAGGTGGATCATGCCTGTAATCCCGGCACTTTGGGAGACCGAGGCGGGCACCTCAGTTGAGGTCATGAGTTTGAGAGCAGCCCAGCCAACATGGGGAAACCCCATCTATACTAAAAAAAACAAAAAGTAGCCAGGCATGGTGGCGTGCACCTGTAATCCCAGCTACTAGGGAGGCTGAGGCAGGAAAATCATTTGAACCCAGGAGGCGGAGGTTGCAATGAGCCAAGATGACTTCACTTGTACTCCAGCCTGGGCACAGAGGGAAACTGTCTCAAAAACAAAAACAAAACAACAAACGAATAACTAAAAAGAGAACTTTCATAGTATCCAGCAATTTCACTACTGGGTTTATATCCAAAGGAAAGTAAATCAATATATCGAAGTGATATCTGCACTCGTATGATTGGTGCAGCACTGTTCACAGTAGCCAAGATGTGGAGTCAACCTACCTGCCCATCAGTGGATGAATGGATAGAGAGAATGTAGTACATACGCACAGTGGAGACTACTCATCCATAGAAAGAATAACATCCTGATATTTGCAGCCACATGGATGGAACTGGAAGTCATTACAAAGATTCCCATTTCTCACCCATATACAGAGCTAAAAGGTGGATCTCATGAAGGTAGAGAGTAGAATGGTGGCTTCCAGAGGCCAGGAATAAAAGGGTGGAGGGTAAAAAAAAAAAAAAAAAAAAATATATATATATATATATATATATATATATATATGTTTATATATGTGTGTGTGTGTGTATATATATATATATATATATATATATAAATGTATTTATGACCACTAGACTTTACACTTAAAAATGGTAAATGTGGCTGGGCGTGGTGGCTCATGCCTGTAATCCCAGCACTTTGGGAGGCAGATGCGGGTGGATCACGTGGTCAGGAGTTGGAGACCAGCTCGACCAACATGGTGAAACCCCCTCTCTACTAAAAATACAAAAAGTAGCCTGGCGTGGTGGTGCGCGCCTGTAGCACCAGCTACTCAGGTGGCTGAAGCAGGAGAATCACTTGAACCCAGGAGGCGGAAGTTGCAGTGAGCTGAGATTGTGCCACTGCACTCCAGCATAGGGGACAGAGCTAGACTCTGCCTCAAAAAAAAAAAAAATGTTAAAGGTGGTAAGCTATATAGGTATATTTATCCTCAATAAATATTTCTTCAAACAAAAGTAAAGGGTGTAGGGGTTGCTGGTGATGACATCCCTGTGTGGGTGAGAGGCCAGGATGGGCTTCTGGGAAATGGGTAATGTTGAGGGGCTGAGGGAACCTCTGATCTTCCCAAACTGAGCCCAGTCTCTCTCCTCTGGGTCTCTCCTGACCGTTTTCTCCATCTGCCTGTGTGCCTGGAGCCCTGGCCGCGGGCCTTCATGCAGGCCGTGTAGGAGGGTTTGGAGGTGCCCTGTCTGCCATCCTGTGCCCTGATCCCTCCCTCACACCCAAGCTTCGTCTTCTCTCTGCATCTGTCCATGCTTCTCTCCATCATCAGCAGGAAGCTCCTCAGCTAAGGCTCTAGGATCATAGGACATGAGACAGATATGGGGTTTCCTCACCTGTGACAGAAACAAGCAGTGGGTCACTCGAGTTTGACCACTCGTATGGAGAGTCACGGAAAGAGCCGAAGCATCTGTAGGTTCCTCCGTGGGTGGCAGGGCCCAGAGGAAAGTCGGCCTGGAATGTTCCGTTGACCTTGGGCCCTGCAGAGAACCTACGTTCATGGGCCTCCCCCTCCCTGGATAGATGGTACATGTCATAGGAGCTCCGGGAGCTGCAGGACAAGGTCACGCTCTCTCCTGCCAGAACCGTGGGGCCCGGCTGGGCTGAGAGAGAAGGTTTCTCATATAGACCTGGAGGAGAAGAGGCATTTTCCTTACGGAGGATCTTCCTTGTCACAGCTCCCTTCACCTGAGCTGAGAACTCACTCCCCTGCTCTATGACCTAATGCTCTCTCTCTCTCTCTCTCTCACCCTCCACCCCATCTCTCTTCATGTCTATTTCCTTCTTCCACCTTCTCTGTCTCTCTAGGTCTCTGACCTCGCTTCCCCACCTCTAGATATGTTTTCCCTTTTTGGATTCTTTTATTCTCTCTGACTCTCCTTGGATTGGTTGACTTGATGTTACTTTTTTAAATTCTAAGTTTCTCACGTTGTGTCCTGTTCATAACTTTCTGCATATTTCTATCTATTATCTGTCGATCTATCTATTTATCTATTCGGTGCCTATCTACAAATTCTCTACCTGTCATCTATATCTATATATCATCTATGTATCTATCACTTGTCTATCTATCCATCAATCATCTGTTATTTATATGTATGTATCATCTCTCTCTCTATGATTTCTGTCTGCCTCTCTATCTGTACGTATTATCTGTCTTCATCATCATCATCTCTATGTATTATCTATTAATGAATCAATCAATCATCATCTATGTATCTTTAACCTATTATCTATCATCTACCTATTTATCATCTATCTATATCTATCCATCTATCATCTGTCTTGCTCTGCCTCTCGGTCTCTCTAGTTCTCTTTGGAATCTCTGCAATTCATCCCCACATCTCCATCTTTCTATGTCCTTGTGCCTCTCTCTCAGGACTCTAATTTTAGTGCTTTTCTCTGCTCCCTGCCATCATTCTCACCACTCCTCTGCCCTCTTTTCTCTCTCTTTATGTGTCTGTGAGTCTCTCAATCTCCTTCCTCTGGCTCATTCTCTGTGTGTTTATGTCTTTGCTTTTTGGTGTTCCTGATTTTTCTCTGTGCCTCTCAGTGATCCTTTCATATGTGGGGTTATTTGGAATGTGAGCCACAGAATCCAGTCTGGAGACCACAAGTTCACACAGCATACAGGGGTTGGTGTTCTGGGGCCATGATATCCTGGGACGATTACTCTCCATTACATGGAAGGCAGAGGTGTCAGAATAAACATGGCCTGTAGGTGCCACAAGGCCTGAGGCCACAGGGCCCAACTCAGGTCATAAATATGGGTGTCCTTGGGTTCTCCTGGTAGAGAACACTTTGTGGAGGTAAAACAGAAATGAAACTTCTAACCTGTGCCAGGTCTGTGAGCAAAGTCAGCATGGAGGGACACCTCTCTCTGGGACATGTCTGTCTGTCTGTCTCTTTTAACTCTTTCTGTCTTTTCTAACTCCCTGTATGGCCCCTGTGTCTGTCCTCTGTTATGACACCTGGTCTGTACTTGTGTCTCCTGTTTCTCTGTCTCTGTTGGTACAAACCTCAGCAAGTCAGTCTCTCTCCATAAGAATACCAAGCTCATCTTCCTTACAACTACCTGGGGGTTCCAAGTCGTGGATCATTCACTCTGCATCCCAATGACAATGAGAATGTCCGGACACTCTCACCTGTGATGACGATGTCCAGAGGGTCACTGGGAGCTGACAACTGATAGGGGGAGTGAGTAACAGAACCGTAGCATCTGTAGGTCCCTGCAAGGTCTTGCATCATGGGACCGATGGAGAAGTTGGCCTTGGAGACCCCATCATGGTGCTCTCCAATGAGGTGCAAAGTGTCCTTAAACTTCCCTTCTCTGTGCAGAAGGAAGTGCTGAAACCTGACATCTGACCAACATTGCAGGATGACTGTCTCTTCTGATTTCACCAGGGGACCTGGGTGGGCCAGGAGGGAAGGTTTTCTGTGGACTCCTAGGAAGAGAGGTTGTGAGTTTAGAAGGTGTCTCTCTTTATCATCCCATCCATGGCACCTAGAATGAGTGAGGCTTCCCCTTGCTGGTGTCTGTCTCTCTCCTTCCTCTCTGTGTCTTCATGTTCTTTTCTGTGCCCTTAACTCCTGGTGCAGGTCCTTCCATCTGTCTCCCTCCCTCTTCTCTGTCCCTCTGTCTCTAGTAGCCTCTGATTCCCTTCCCACTGGGCTGAGCCTCATCTCTTGGGGTGTTGTATCTATTTCACACTAATGTATTTCCTGCTGTTTATGTGGGGGTGAAAGAGGAACCAGGATAGGCTGCACATCCAGGCTCTTATCAGCCTGGTTCAATCTCTTTTGGATGAATTGCAATCCTTGGCAGAAGGTATGAACTGATGAATAAGGCAGGCACCAGTGTCCACACACCCTGTTCCTGGTGGGGACTGGGAGCCACTCTTGCCATGCCTGTGCCTTCTCCATGGTGCCAGCTTCCATAGGCTGGCTCCTGGTGCTGGTTGGAGGAGTATCAACCCCTCCCTATGTGGATGGAGCCTGGTGGTGGCATCATCATCCCACCCTTGCTGATCTCAGGGTAGCCAACCTTCTCCTTGTTTGGTTTCTTTAATTAATTAATTAATTATGGAGACAGAGTCTCACTCCTTCACCCAGGCTGGAGTGAAGTGGTGTGGTCTAGGCTCACTGCAACCTCTGTCTCCTGGGTTCAAGTGATTCTCCTGCCCTCAGCCTCCTGAGTCGCTAGGATTACATGCACCTGCCACCATGCCTGGCTTTCCTTGGGTTGTTTCTTAACTTGTCCTTGACCTGGGTTCCAGTGTTGGTTTCCTGTTGCTGCTGTAGAAAATTATCAGAAGCATGGCAGCAGGAGAGACCACACTGACACCTTCCAGTACTGGAGACAGAAATTGGACCCTATTTTTCCTGGGCTAAAATCAAGGCATCTGCAGGGCTTTGTTCCCTCTGGAGACTCTGGAGAATCAGTTCCTTGACTTTTCCAGCCTCTATAGGCCACCTGCATTCATGGATCTTGGCCTTCCTCCACCTTCAAAGCTGGTGAAGACTTCCACTGGACTGCTCTAATCCCCACTCCCCTCTTCCTCCTCCTTTCATGTGCACCCTTGTGATTACACTGAGCCCAGTGGGACAGTCCAGGCTGTCTCCCCATGAGCTCCATCTTCCCCTTCAGTCCCTTCCCCTATAACATAAATAGTCACAGACTCCAGGGATTAGAATGTAGTCATCACTGGGGACAATTATTCTTCCCACCACAGCACCCATTTCCCTGTATTCAATCCCCCTTTACCACAAATACAGTCAGGGCCTGCGTGATGGGACCCTCAAGGACATGCCCAACAGAAGCTCTGGGATTCAGGAGGTGGGACAAGGAGAATCCAAGACAGGAGCCCTCTGACCTATGACCACGATCACCAGGGGGTTGCTGGGTGCTGACCACCCACTGGGGGAGTGTGTGTGTGAACCCCGACATCTGTATGTCCCTGTGTGTGCGGGGGTCACAGGGCCCATGAAAAGGCTGTTCCAGAATATTCTGTTGTAGAGCTCAGGGACAGGCACCCCACCTTCCTTTTACAGACTGAAGTTGTTAAACCCAAGATAAGAGTGACACCGAAGAATGACATGTCCTAGAGGCACCACAAGGCTGGGCCAGGCAGACAGCAAGGGCTTGTCCTGACCACCTTGGGGAGAAGGAGGCGCCGCCTTAGAGAGGAGGATGTGGAACTGCCCTTCCCTCCCTGTGCTCAGAAGATTCTCCTCGCTTTCCACGTTTCTATGGCTACTATCACACCTTGGTGCCCAGGGCTGAAGGAAGGACCCATCCCGCAAAGACATGGTGTCTCCCTACAACAAAAGCCTCAGCTGAGAACTTTGAGCAAGTGCTGAGTAAAGAGACTCCTACTAGATTTTAATACTGTAAGATTACTCACATAAAACAACACAGGGTAGACATGAGGTGGAGGGCATGTCCTTTGTGAATGGATATCAGCGGATGCCTGAACGAAAATAAACAACTGAGCCCCCATCAGAGGATTTGGAATGTCAGGGCCATGGCTGTGGTTTCCCACCTCTTCTGGTAGAATGACAGCAGCCACACTGCAGCCCCTACCATCATGGAAACGCTGAAGTGTGTGAGTAACACCTTTGTCCTCAGAGGATCTGCTGTTCCTACCACTTCCCAACCACACACCCCAGCTTTGAGCACCCCAGTCTAACCCTGGTCCCCACAGAACTTGACTCTGCCAAGGGGTTGAGAGGCCAGGGAGGCGAGGTCAGAAATGTGGGCTGAGCACCCCAGGGTCCTCTCTTCCTAGTTTATGAGAGACTCCCCGACAGGACTTCCCTCCTGTTTCAGGAAAATCCTCTTATGTGGGGAGATGACACCCGAAGGTTTGGAGAAGGACTCACCCTCATGTGGCCAGGCCCCCTGCAGCAAGAAGAACCCTGGAAAGAAAGATCATGATGGACCATCCATCTGCAGGCAAACCAGGCCTCCCTTGCTGCCCCCACTGGGCTGTGAGTCTTGGCAGCCAGGCCCTTCCTGGGCTGAAGTTAAACTCACCCTCAGTGCCTACCTGCACCCAAGAACAGGGCTGTCGGCTGTGCAGAGACCCAGTTTCCAGGCCCATATCCCCACCCCAAGCCCATATCTCCACTCCAGGCTGATATTTCCACCCTAGGCCCATATCGCCAATCCAGGCTCAGATCTCCACCCTAGGCCCCTATCTCCAATCCAGTCCCATATCTCCGCCCCAGGCCCAGATCTCCACCCTAAGCCCATATCTCCACTCCAGGCCCATATCACCTCTCCAGTCCCATATCTCCACACCCAGGCCCATATCTCCTTCCTAGGCCCATATCTCCACTCCAGGCCCAGATATCCATCTCTAGGCCCATAACTCCACTCCTGGCCCATATCTCCACTCCAGGCCCATATCTCTACTGCAGGCCCGTATCTCCACCTCCAGACCCATATCTCCACTCCAGGCCCATATCTCCACCTCCAGGCCCATATCTCCACCTCCAGGCCCATATCTCCACTCCAGGCCCATATCTCCACTCCAGGCCCCTATCTCTACTGCAGGCCCATATCTCCATCTCCAGGCCCATATCTCCATCTCCAGGCCCATGTCTCCACTACAAGCCCATATCTCTACTGCAGGCCCATATCTCAACCTCCAGGCCCATATCTCCACTCCAGGCCCAGATCTCCACTCCAGGCCCAGATCTCCACTTCTAGGCCCATCACTCCATCTCTAGGCCCATAACTCCACTTCCAGGCCTATATCTCCAACTCTGGGCCCCGATCTCCATCCCCGCACTCCCTCCCTCGATGCCCTTCCAGGACTCACCAACACACACCATGCTGACGACCATGAGCGACATGGTGCTGTCTGTGCAGACAGGCGGCCGCGCCCCAGCTCAGCTCAGCAGCGCACAGGATGTTATTTGGCGCCCTGCCCATGCAGTTTACATGTTGACCACATCATGGGAGGGTGACGTATGCAGGCTCTTTCTACCTTGCATGAGGCCCAGTGGGTGCTCGCTCAAGAGCGGAACATGGCTTCCTGGAAATTGTTCTCACTAGAATTGACACCTTGCGTCCTTCACTACGACCAGACTCAAAAGACGTCTCAGATCCAACCTCTCATACACGAGATGATTGAATTCTGTGCTTACATTAAAGATTTTTGATGTATTTTTGTTTTTATCTGAGATTCAAACTCTTCTTCATATGTAATGTGCAAAATGTCTAACAGGTATTATTAACATTATCAGAGTAATTGTGACAAGAAGCCATTCTAATTTTCCTGCTTGAGTTTCTACTACTAAACCAGAGGCATCAGAATAGCTTGAACCTGGGAGACGGAGGTTGCAGTGAGCTGAGCTCAAGCCACTGAACTCCAGCTTGGGTGACAGAGGAAGAGTCTGTCTCAAGAAAAAAAAAAAAAGCAAACTAAATAACCTATAATAACAAATCAGAGGACTCAGGTTACCAAATTTTAAGGGGTTCTATAAGTTTATATAAAATGCAGCATCCTCATGAGAGGGGATACAGAGAACCACTGGACAGAAAACTGTGTCTAAAATACATCTGTGGATACACAGTCCCTTTATAGTTGACAAAGGCTGCCATGTAGTTTAAGGTGGAATAGAATATTTTCTCAACAAATAACACAGGACCATAGGGTTACACGTAGGAAAAAATAAATCTAAACTTATCCTCACACTATAAAAACACTTCTTATTTTTTATCTTGTTGTTGTAAATTTTTTATGCTTTATTTTTAAGATTGACAAATAAAAATTATATACCATGGTCCTTCACTATACCTGGGTGATTGGTTCCAGGATCCCCATTCAGATACCAAAATCTGCAGATGCTCAAGCCCCTTGCATGAAATGGCATAGTGAAGCTGGGCACCGTGGCTCACGCCTGTAATCCCAGCACTTTGGGAGGCTGAGCTGGGTAGATCACAAGGTCAGGAGTTCAAGACCAGCTGGTCCAACATTCTGAAACCCCATCTCTACTAAAAATATACACACAAAAAAATTTATCTGTGCAGGGTGGCACGTGCCTGTAATCCTAGGGGAGGCTACTGGGGAGGCTGAGGGAAGAGAATCGCTTGAACCTGGAAGGCGGAGGTTGCAGTGAGTTGAGATCACGCCACTGCACTCCAGCCTGGGTGAGAGAGTGAGACTGTCTCAAAAAAAAAAAAAAATAGCATAGCAATTGCATAGAACCCATGCACATCCTCCTGTATACATGAAATCATCTCTTGATTACTTATAATTCCTGACACAGCCTACACGCCACTCAATTTGTGTCGATTCAACATAGTTTTTTGCTTTTTGAAACTTCGGGGATTTTTTTTCTCAAAATATTTTTGATTTATTGCTGATTCAATAAACATGTGTAAACCCCAGAGATATGGAGGAGTGACTGTCTATTTATAGTAGTATGAAAGATGATGTGTTGATACGTGTCCCTGTGGAGATGAGACTAACAAGGCCTATGACTCTACAAATGTTTCATCGTGGAATGACTCTGCCAGCTTTCCAGATCTGCAGAGAGTAAGAATATCACTTGTTCATCTGATTCACCATCCTTGGAACCTCCTATGTGCTGCATCTTTGGATGGAAATTGGAGTCTCAGAGACAATTCAGGCTCCACCCTGCTTCCAGAAGCTCAGAGTCCAGGGGTGAGAACCCAGCGGAGAACAGATGGGGTTATGTGGACGTGGTAATGATAACACCGGAAGCCTTAGGCAAGAAAAGAGTCCCATTGACGAAACCATGAGGGCAGACATGTTTACTTGAAGAAGAGAAAACTACATTGAAATTATAAAAAAAATTTATAAGTTTTACTGCTGACAGAAGGCTGAAAGATACTCTGAGGAAAGGTGGAATAGCACGTATCTAAGTGCCGTGTTAAGAGGGAGCCTCTTATATGTTTGGAATTGTGAGTTCCTCAGTGTGATCGCAGCCTCAAGTAGACTAGGAAGTAAGCCAGTTAGGTTGGAGAGGTGGGCAGGGGTCAAGTGAAATGGAGAATTGTGGGCTAAGCAAGTGTGTTTTCTCTCCAGCAGGCAGTGGGGACCTTAGACATTTGTAAGCAAGAGAGAGGCATGTTCAGATTCGTGGTGTGAGGAAGAGCGATGCCCTAAGATGCAGACTCACGCCTTCAGAGTCCAGCTGCTGGTACATGGGAGCTGGCAACCCGGTTTTGAGACAGGGCTATTGTCTCCCTAGAAGATCCCATCAAGGCCTGACTGTGGTGCTAGTGGACAGAAGACAACTTTGGATCTGCGCTCAGCATTTGGAAGTTCCGTGTTACACGCTGGTATCTGTTGGGGGTGTCTTGGGCCTCTGAGAAGGGCGAGTGATTTTTCTCTGTGTGAAAACGCAGTGATTCAACTGTGCGTATGTCACCTCCTGAGGGTCTTGTTCATCAGAGTCCTGGAGGGAGGGAAATGCTGAGTGAGGGAGGGTGCTCACATTTTCCAGGACTCTTTGGGAATAAGACTAGCCACGAGGCTGGGCGGAGGAGCACCTACCTCCCTGTTCACTGTTCTGTTCCCTGCAGGCTCTTGGTCCATTACAACAGCATCTGTAGAAGACGGAAGTCGTCAAAACAGCTCGGAGGGCACTTCTGGGTCCTCATTTCATAAGCAGATACCAACATACAGGGGGAGGCCATAGGTGCCTGAGGTCCCTCAGTTGCCAACAGCAGACTCAGACATTCTATCTCTCTGAGCTCAAGGATCCATCCCATGTATAGCTCTGAGTTCCCATCCTATTGATTCTGTGTCCCACTTTCTGCCTGTCATGGAACCTTCTCCTGGATGTGAGTGGCTGCAGGGGATGTGAGGATACGGTTCAGAATCAGGCAATGGTCTGTGAGCTGAAGGCAGAGGCAGGGAGTCTGGTGCTCTCTCTAGAAAGTCCTGCCTCTGTGGCTCCTGCCTTGGGCCAGGGACCATCCTGCCTGTGAGGAACACACACCTGAGTGCTCCCATCCTGCTTCCCCACATGGCCCTGAGCTCTCTGGCTTCTGCTTCGTGAGACTTACTCTTTTTGTTGGCACACCAGCGATGAAGGAGAAAGAAGAGGAGGATAGCAAAGGGGATGATGACCACTGAGGTCCCAATCAGAACGTGCAGGTGTCTGGAGTTACCTGGAGGAAGACAAGACACCAATAAGAAGCTAATCATAGCAGTTCCTCTATATGAATTGTCTCACATTTCTTGATTGACAGGTAACCACATACAACGTCTCTTTAGGACAAGCACCCAGATGGCGGGAGACCTAGCTTCCTCCTGCTTTCTCAGTTGTAGTAACCATAGAACGTGCTGAGGATACAACTGCTTTAGTTTAGATGTTTGACCCCTTCAAACCTCACATTGAAATGTAACCCCCAGGGTGGGAGGTTGGGCCTCTTGGGAGTTGTTTGGGTCATGGAGGTGGATCCATCATGAACAGATCAATGCTGTTCCAAGGAGACGGGGTTAGCAAGTTCCCCCTCTATTAGTTCCTGGAGAACTGGTTGTTAAAAGAGCTTGGAAGCTCCATCGCTCCCCCTCCCCCTTGGTCCCTCTCTTGCCGTGTGATCTCTGTGGTCTCTGCACAGACAGACCCTCCTTCCCTTCTGCCAGAGTGGGAGCAGCCTGAGGCCGTCACAAGAAATAGATGCTGGTGCCATGCTTCCAGTACAGCCTGCAGAACTGTGAGGCAAACACATTTCTTTTCTTTAGAAGTTACCCAGGCTCAAGTGTTCCTTTAGAGCAACAAAAATGGACTAAGACAGCAACGTCCTGAGATCAGGAGGAACATCCCAGAACAGCCTGGGCTGTCTTCCTGTTCTTCCTGGAGGAGGACGTCATGCAGTGCTTTAGCTGAGTGCTTCCTGTGGCTCCAGGGTACAAAACCCAGGCTGGGCTGCTTTTTGATTTCCCCCAGATACACTGCATATGGGGTGACTCCACATGTCTCGAGCAGCTTTTCTGAGCCTTGAGGGACTGGCTCACATTGAAATGTAGGTTTCTGTTGTCACTCGCTGCTTATCTGTTAGTAATGAACCTGCCTGTGTAATGTGTTCTCTGTGTGTTCTGTCTCCCTGGAGTGACGGTGAGTGATAGGAATTGGTATAGGCCCAGGTGCATTCCAGGAGGTGTTTAGAATCTTCTCTGGGAAGACTGGATTGGGATTGATACACAGCGAATGTGCTTTACAGTTTCTACCACCACAACCCTCTTGACTCAAAAAAAATTACATTCTCCAAGAAAAGAAAGAAAAAATGAAATCAAGATAAAAAAAGTGAAGTAGAACTGACTTAAATCAAACAGCCATGAAATAATGATGTAGCCCAGGAACAACATGCTACTTTTTGTGATCTGCTGAGACATATATTAGGCTGCTATTCCACCCGAGAAGCACGGGGAAGGACCGCCCTCTCCGTCGTTTATTGTTTCAATACAGCCTGTCCTTCTGTGAGTTAGTACGAAATGTGACCAGGGGCTAGTGCTGGCACTGGTCTCTGAGTCCAAGATCTGAGCTCACTCCAAAGAGTATTAGTGTTTACCTCCCCATGATCTATCTGTATCTCCATAGGTGATTGGAAGTAGAGATGAATTGGGGGATTTGGGTGAAGGGGCAAGTTTTATGCCATGAACAGAGCACGTTCTCTATTCCAGGACCTGTGCTGGTGGGTTCAGGAGGCTTTCACATTTTCCATATGATCCCAAGCTCACAGAAAGCCAAATAAGGAAGAGGTTTAACCTGATTGTTTAATGGATAAGATAAAGGGTCAAAGAATTAAACACAGAGAAATAGAAAAATGATGGTTGGTATCCAGTTGCCTTTGTAATTTCTGTGTGTCATAATTATGTATGTTTTATTTTTATTTTTTGAGACAGAGTCCCCCTGTGTCAGGCTGGAGTGCAGTGATGCGATCTCAGTTCAACCTCTGCCTCCAGGGTTGAAGCCATTCTTCTGCTTCAGCCTCCCCAGTCGCTGGGATTACAGGCAGGTGCCAATGCACCAGGCTAATTTTTGTATTTTTAGTACAGACGGGGTTTCACCATGTTGGCCAGGCTGGTCTCAAACTCCTACCCTTAAGTGATCTACCCGCCTTGGCCTCCCAAAGTGTTGGGTTACAGGTGTGAGCCCCCATCCACAGTCTTGTATATTATATTATACTAGGTCCCTTCATTTGCACCACCCCTCATGTGTCTATCGCTCCTCTGCCAGGTATGGATTTAGATGTAGAAAAAAAACACATCTCAGAAAGAAATTAATGAAACAAGGATTAAACTACTAGGAAAAATCAAACCCAGCAAGCCCTCCCTGCAAATGATTCTACCTCACAAGCATAGCTTATATCCATCTTTCATTCATTTAGTGTGTAAATCAACCCTACGTTTCACCAGTGGGGCGGGAATTGCCTTTTCCACCGTCTCCTAGATTCCAGTTACGCACCTGGGCCTCCCTTATTTTCATGTCGGTCACTATTAATCAGGTAGGGATTCCTAGTTAGCTCTGAGTTGAATCCAATGGCTGTGAGTATCAAACACACGCTCCTTGTTCCTCCTTAGTTTCCTGTGTACCCAGTGTGCTCTCCATCTCTCTACAGTTGTCTTGTCATTCTCCCCACTTCATTCCCAGCATTTGAGGCAGAGCCTCTTCCTTGAACTAAGAATGTTTCCACCTTTGTGCCTTCACGGCTGAGAGCTCAGTGTGGAAAATCCTTCCGCCAATCTTCCAAGGGTTGAATCCATTTTTTCCATTAAGGTCACAAATATTATCTGATCAGTGAGACCTTCTCTGTCACCTGAAATTATATACTCAGCATTATCTATTACTTATTTTAAATCCTGGCTGGGCGCAGTAGCTCTCGCCTGTAATCTTTGCACTTAGGGACGCTAAGGCGGTGGGATCACTTGAGATTGGGAGTTTGAGACAGCCTGCACAACATGGTGAAACCTCATTTCTACTAAAAAAATATACCAAAAAAATTAGCCGAGTGTGGTGGCGCACAGCTGTAATCCCAGCTACTCGGTAGGCTGAGGCAGGAGAATTGCATGAACCCAGGAGGCAGAGGTTGCAATGAGCTGAGATTGTGCTACTGCACTCCAGCCTGTGGAACAGAGAGAGACTCTACTCAAAAAAAAAAAGAAAAAAAACACACACACACACAAAAAACCCCAGATTTGGTGCACAGATGCTTCCCAATGGATCATTCATTTATTGGTACCCTTGTGCATTCATTCTCTGCCCTCGCATTTACCCATCTGCAATATCAGCGTCCCAAGAGCAGAGGCCAAATGCATCCTGTTTACCATTTGTGGAAGGCAGGAGAATGCTGCCCCACCCCCAAAATGTCCCTGTCTTAGCCTCCATAGCTTGTGAATATGTTATTTTACAGGAAAGGAGGAATGAAGATTGCAGATGGCATTACGGTTGCTAATCAGCTGAACTTAAAAAGAGGGTACGCTGGATGATTTTAGGGAGATTGAGATGGATTATCTTGGTGACCCCAATAGAATCCCAAAGTCCTTAAAAGATGAGGAAGAAGGCAGAGCAGGATTCAGAGAAAAAGGTGTGGGTAAAGAAGAAGAGTCTGAATGATGCCATGTGAGACGTGACCAGCCTTTGTGGGCTTTGAGGAAGGAGGAAGGAGGAAGGGGACCAGGGGCCCAGGAACGTGGGAGCCTCTAGGAGCTGGGAAACGTTAAGGAGCAGATTCTTGCTTGGAACCTTAAAAAGAAATCCAGCCTTACTGTCCCTTTGATATCAGCCCAGTGAAATGCAGTTCATACTTCTGAGTTACAGCACTGTGAGATAATTAAGAAAAACATGTTTTCATCCACGAAGCTTGTGGAAATTTGTTATGGCAACAATAGGAAAAGATTCCACACTGCACAGCCTGAGCATGGGGCATTGGCTGAACGAGTGAGTGAGTGGAAGTGTCGTGTGCATAAATAAGCTAAATTCTCTCTTACTGCACGTCTCTTGCTCTGCTGAGTCAACCAGGGTTGCATCTGGTACACTGCTGATACGAATGTAAATTAGTACAGCCATTACAGAGGAGAAGAGTATGGAAGTTCCTCAAAAAATAAAATGAGGTCGGGCACAGTGGTTCATGCCTGTAATCCCAGCACATTGGGAGGCCGAGGTGGGTAGGTCACTTGAGGTCAGGAGTTGAAGAGCAGCCTGGCCAATATAGCGAAACTCTGTCTCTACTAAAAATATAAAAATTAGCCGAGTGTGGTGGTGGGAGCCAGTAACCCAGCTACTTGGGAGGCTGAGGCTGGGGAATCTCTTGAATCCTGGAGGTGGAGGTTGCAGTGAGCCCAGATGGCGCCACTGCACTCCAGCCTGGGCAACAAGAGTGAAACAGTCTAAAAAAAACAAAAACAAAAACAAAAACCATAAAACAAAATGTAAAAAGACACTTCCAGAGGATCTAGCAATTCCATGACTGGGTGTAAACCCAAAGGAAAGGACATCAGCGTATCGAAGTGACATCTGCACTCCCATGACTGTTCCAGCAGTGTTCACAGTAGCCAAGATGTGGATCAACCTACCTGCCCATCAGTGGGTGAATGGATGGAGAGAATGTGGTACACACACACAATAGGGACAACTCATCCATAGAAAGAGTAACATCCTGTCATTTACAGCCACATGAATGGAACTGGAGGTCATTACAAGTATTTCCATTTCTCACTCATATGCAGGAGCTAAAAGGTGGATCTCACAAAGGTAGAGAGTAGAATGGTGGCTACCAGAGGCCAGGAAGGGAAGGGTGGAGGGTAAAAAAAAAAGAATACTAATTAATTAATTAATTAATTTTGAGAGAGTGTCTCTCTCTGTTGCCCAGGCTGCAGTGCAGTGGCATGATCTCAGCTCACTGCAACCTCCGCCTCCTGCAATTAAGTGCAACTCCTGCCCAACCCTACCAAGTAGCTGGGACTACAGGCATGTGCCACCATGCTCGGCTAATTATTATCATTATAATTATTATTTTGTATTTTTAGTACAGATGGATTTTCCCCATGTTGGCCAGGGTGGTCTTGAGCCCCTGATCTCAAATGATCCACCTGCCTTGGCCTCTCAAAGTGTTGGGATTACAACCGTGAGCCACCGTGCCCAGCCTATAAATGTATTTATGAACAGTAGACTTCACACTTAAAAATGGTAAAGGTGGTAAATTACATAGGTATATTTCACCTCAATAAATATTTCTTCAAACAAAAAGAAAAGGGTGTAGGCGTTGCTGGTGATGACATCTCTCTGTGGGTGACAGGCCAGGATGGGCTTCTGGGAAGTGGGTAAGGTTGAGGGGCTGAGAGAACCTCTGATCTCCCCAGGCAGAGCCCAGTCTCCCTCCTCTGGGTCTGTTCTGACCTCTTTCTCCATCTGCCTGGGTGCCTGGAACCCTGATCAAGGGCATCCTTGCAGGCCATACAGGAGGGTTTGGAGGTGCCCTGTCTGCCATCCTGCGCCCTGACCCCGCCCTTACACCCATGCTGTGTGTTCTGTCTCGGCATCTGTCCATGCTTCTCTCCATCATCAGCAGGAAGCTCCTCAGCTATGGCTCTAGGATCACAAGACATGGGACAGGCATGGTGTTTTCTCACCTGTGACAGAAACGGGCAGTGGGTCACTCGGGTCTGACCACGCATGGGGCAGGGCACGGAAAGAGCCGAAGCATCTGTAGTTCCCTCCGTGGGTCACAGGGCCCAGAGGGAAGTTGGCCTGGAATGTTCCATTGACCCTCAGCACTGCAGTGAGCCTAAGTTCACCGGCCTCCGCCTCCCTGGATAGATGGTAAATGTCAAACAAGCTCCGGGAGCTGCAGGACAAGGTCACATTCTCTCCTGCCTGAACCGTGGGGCCCGGCTGGGCTGAGAGAGAAGGTTTCCCATATAGACCTGGAAGAAGAAGAGGTGGTTTCCTCAGGGAGGTTCTTCCTTGTCACAGCTCTCCTCACACCTGAGCTGAGAACTCACTCCCCTGCTCTATGACTTAATGCTCTCTTTCTCTCTCTCACCCTCCACCCCCATCTCTCTTCATGTCTATTTCCTCCTTCCACCTTCTCTGTCTCTCTAGGTCTCTGACCTCACTTCTCCATCCCTAGCTATGTTTTCTTTTTTTGTACCATTTTATTCTCTCTGACCCTCCTTGGACTGGTTGACTTGATCTTCCTCTTTCTTTAATTCTGAGTCTCTCACTTTCTGTCTTGCTCATAACTTTCTGCATATTTCTATCTATTATCTATTGATCGATCTATCATTTATCTATGTATGTATCTATCATCTATCATCATCTGTGTATCTATGACCTATCTCTCTGTTATCTATCATCTATCAATCAATGTATGTATGTATGCATCTATCCATCTATCATCATGTGTTTATCTGTCTTTCTATCTCTCTATATCTATTTATATATCATCTGTCTGTCTTTCTACTTGTCTATCTATATCATCTATCAGTCATTCATCATCTATTTGTCTATCACCTGTCTCTCTATTATCTATCATCTACCTTTTATCTTTCATCTATCTATATCTATCTGTCCATCTATCATCTGTCTCTCTCCATCTCCTTGTCTTTCTCTGCCTCTCAGTCTCTCTAGTTCCCTTTTGGAGTCTCTGCAATCCATCCTCACATCTTTATCTTTCCCTGTCTTTGTGCCCCTCCCTCAGGGCTCTGATTTTAGGGCTTTTCTCTGCTTCCTTCCATCATACGCTCCACTTCTCTGCCCTCTTTTTCTATCTCTTTATGTGTCTGTGAGTCTCTCAATTCCCTTCTTCTGGCTCATTCTGTGTGTGTGTTCATGTCTTTGCTTTTTGATTTCCCTGATTTCACTCCGTGTCTCTCTGTGGGCTTTTGTTCTCAGTAATCCTATAACATGTGGTGCTATTTGAATATGAGCCTCAGAATCCAGTATGGGGACTCCAGGAACTCACAGCATACAGGGGTTGGTGTTCTGCTCCCTCACCTGGGGCCATGGTGTCCTGGGACGATGACAGCTCCACTGCACGGAAGGCAGAGGTTTAAGAATAAACACAACATCTGTAGGTGCCACCAGCCTGGGGCCACATGGCCCAACTCAGGCCAGATAGATGTGTCTCTTTGGGTTCTCCTGGGAGAGAACACTTTGTAGAGGTAAAACAGAATGGAACCTTCTAACCTGTGCCTGGTCTCTGAACAAAGTCAGCATAGAAGGACACCTCTCTCTGGGATATGTCTGTCTCTCTGTGTCTTCTTTACCTCTTTATCTCTTTTTCTAACACCTTGTATGGCCCCTGTGTCTGGCTTCTATGTTATGACATGAGGTCTGTACTTGTGTCTCCTGTTTCTCTGCCTTTGTTGGTACAGACCTCACCAAGTCACTTTCTCTCCATAGGAACCCCACACTCATCTTCCTCATGACCACCTGGGGCTTCCAGTCCTAGATCATTCACTCCATCTCCCAGCAAGGGTGAGAGGCAGGTCTGTATTCTCTCACCTACGACCACGATGTCCAGAGGGTCACTGGGAGCCGACAACTCATAGGGTAAGTGAGTGACAGAACCAAAGCATCTGTAGGTCCCTGCAAGGGCAGGTGTCATGGGACCCATGGAATAGTTGACCTGGGAACCCGCATCGTGGAGCTGTCCAACGAGGCGCAAGGGGTCCTCAGTGATCCCCTCTCTGTGCAGAAGGAAGCGCTCAAACCTGACATCTGACCAACATTGCAGGATGACCGTCTCTCCCGATTTCACCAGGGGACCTGGGTGGGCCAGGAGGGAAGGTTTTCTGTGGACTCCTAAGAAGAGAGGTTGTGAGTTCAGAAGGCGTCTCCCTTTCTCATCCCATTCATGGGACCTGAAATAAGTGAGGCTTCCCCTCCATGGTGTCTATCTCTCTCCTTCCTGTCTGTGTCTCCGTGTTCTTTTGTGCCCATAACCCCTGTTGCAGGTCCCTCCATCTGTCTCCCTCCCTCTTCCCTGTCTCTCTGTCTCTAGTAGCCCTGATTCCCTTCCCACTGTGCTCAGTGTCACCTCTTAGGCTGTTGTATCTGTTTCCCACTAATCTCTTTCCTGGTGTTTATGTGGGGGTGGAAGAGGAACCATGACAGGCTGCATGTCCAGGCTCTTAGCAGCCTGAATCAATCTCTTTTGGACAGATTGGAAAGGCCGGCAGGAGGTACGAACTCATCAGTAAGGCAGGCATCAGTGTCCCTGTTCCTGATGGGGATTGGGAGCCTCTCCTTTCATGTCTGTGCCTTCTCCATGGCCCCAGCTTCCATAGGGTGGCCCCTGGTGCTGGTTCCAGGAGCATCAACCCCTCCCTATGTGGATCGAGCCTGGTGGTAGCATCAGTATCCCACCCATGCTAAAATCAGTGTAGCCAACCTTCTCCTTGTTTGGTTTCTTAACCTGTGCTTCACCTGGGTTCCTGTGTTGGTTTCCTGTTGCTGCTGGAGAAAATTGTCACAAACATGGGGCAGGAGAGAATACAATGACCCCTTCCACTTCTGGAGAACAGAAATCGGACCCAGTTCTCTCTGGGCTAAAATCAAGGCATCTGCAGGGCTGTGTTTCCTCTGGAGACTCAGGGAAGAATCAGTTCCCTTGACTTCTCCAGCCCTTAGAGGCCACCTGCCTTTGTGGCTCATGGCCTTCCCCCATCTTCAAAGCCCGCTGTGGCTGATGGAGTCTCCCTCCCACGACGTTGCTCTAACCCCACTTTCCTCTTCCTCCTCCTCTCATGAGGACCCTTGTGATTACTCTGAGCACAGCAGGACAGTCCAGGCTGTCTCCCCATCGCAAGGTCAACTCATCAACAACCTGAGCTCCATCTTCCTCTTCAGTCCCCTGCCCTATAACATAAATAGTCACAGGGTTCATGGATTACCATGTAGCCATCACTGGGGACAAT
This sequence comes from Homo sapiens, assembly GCF_000001405.40. Lineage (NCBI taxonomy): Eukaryota > Metazoa > Chordata > Mammalia > Primates > Hominidae > Homo > Homo sapiens. The sequence goes on from NT_187643.1 coordinate 142,580, forward strand.
TATTCTTCCCACCACAGCAACTATTTCTCTGTACTGAATCCCCCTTTACCCCAAATACAGTCGGGGCCTGGATGATTGGACCCTGATGGACGCCCCCACCAGAAGCTCTGGGATTCAGGAGGTGGGACAGTGAGAAGCCCAGACAGAAAGCCTCTGACCTGTGACCATGATCACCACAGGGTTGCTGGGTGCCGACCACCCAGTGGGGGAGTGTGGGTGTGAACTGCAACATCTGTAGGTCCCTGCATGTGCTGGGGTCACAGGGCCCATGAGAAAGCTGTTCCGGAATATTCTGTTGTAGAGCTCAGGGACAGGCATCCCGTCTTCTTTGGACAGACTGAATTCATTAAACCCAAGACGAGAGCGACACTGAAGAGTCACATGTTGTCCTTCAGACACCACAGTGCCGGGCCAGGCAGAGAGGAAGGGCTTGTCCTGACCACCTGGGGGAGAAGGAGGCACCACCTTAGAGAGGAGGATGTGGAGCCGCCCCTCCCTCCCTGTGCTCAGAAGATTCTCCCATTTCCACGTTTCTAAGGCTCCTACCACACCTGGGTGCCCAGGGCTACAGGAAGGACCCATCCCGCATAGACATGGCGTCTCCCTACAGCAAGTGTCAGCTGAGAACTTTGAGCAGGTGCTGAAGAAGCGACTCTTACTAGATTTTAACACTGCAAAATTACTTACATAAAAGAACACAAGGTAGACACAGGATGGAGGGCATGATCAGCTAATGCATGAACCATAATAAACAACTGAGCCCCTATTAGAAGATCTGGAATGTCAGGGTCATGACTGTGGTTCCCCCACCTCTTAGGTAGAATGACAGCAGCCACATTGCAGCCCCTACCGTCATGGAAACGCTGGAGGGTGTGAGTTATGCTCTTGTCCTCAGAGGCCTGTTGTTCCTTGCACTGCTTCTCTCCCTTCCTCTGCCGGTGACACCACTTCCTCCCTGCACACCACTCCTTTGAGCACTTCAGTCTCCCCCTGGGTCCCCACAGACTCAGCCAAGGGAAAGAAAGGCCGGGGAGGGCTAGGACAGAACTGTGGCGAAGCTTCCCCTGGCTTCCTTTTCCTAGTTCATGAGAGATTCCCACATGGCTTCCCATGGTCAGCCCATCAGTCAACCCCCTGTGTCGCCTGCCTCCCGTTTCAGGAGCATCATCTTATGTGGGGAGATGACAACCTAAGGTTTGGGGGAAGGACTCACCCACATGTGGCCAGGGCCCCTCCAGCAAGAAGAACCCTGGAAAGAAAGATCATGATGGATGATCCATCTGTACATCACCTCCAGGCCCATATCTCCACTCCAGGCCCATATCTCCACCTCTAGGCCCATATCTCCACTCCAGGCCTATATCTCCACCTCCGTCCTATATCTCTACTCCAGGCCCATATCTCCACTCCAGGCCTATATCTCCACCTCCGTCCTATATCTCTACTCCAGGCCCATATCTACACTCCAGGCCCATATCTCCACCTCCAGGCCTGTATCTCCACCTCCAGGCCCGTGTCTCCATTCCAGGCCCATATCTGCACTCCAAGCCAACATCTCCACTCCAGGCCCGTATCTCTACTCCAGGCCCATATCTACAGTTCCAGGCCCATATCTCCACCTCCAGGCCCATATCTCCACTCTAGGCCCATATCTCCACCTCCAGGCCCGTATCTCAATTCCAGGTCCATATCTGCACTCCAAGCCAATATCTCCACTCCAGGCCCATATCTACAGTTCCAGGCCCATATCTCTACTCCAGGCCCATATCTCTACTTCAGGCCCATATCTACAGTTCCAGGCCCATATCTCCACTCCAGGCCCATATCTCCACCCCAGGCCCATATCTCCACTCCAGGCCTATATCTCCACTCCAGGCCCATATCTCCACTCCAGGCCCAGATCTCCACTCCAGGCCCAGATCTCCACCCCAGCGCTCCCTCCCTCGATTCCCTTCCAGGACTCACCAACACACGCCATGCTGACGACCATGAGCGACATGGTGCTGCCGGTGCAGACAGGCGGCTGCGCCCCAGCTCAGTTCAGCAGCACACAGGATGTTGTGATGGGCTCATGCAGTTTACATGCTGACCACATCATGGGAGGATGACGTATGCAGGCTATTTCTACCTTGCATGAGGCCCAGTGGCTGTTTGGTCAAGAGCGGAACATGGCTTCCTGGAAATTGTTCCAACTAGAATTGACACCTTGCATCCTTCACTATAACCAACTCAAAACACGTCTCAGATCCAATCTCTCATACAGGAGATGACTGAATGCTTGGCTTACATTAAAGACTTTTGATGTATTTTTGTTGTTTTTATCTGAGATTCAAACTCTTCTTCATGTGCTATTTTCCCCAGGCTGTTCTTTGACTTCAGAGTTCAAGCAATCCTCCTGCCCCAGCATTTCTAGCAGCTGGCAGTATGTCACAATCTGCCACACCCAAGTCACAACTTTTAGAACTTTTTTTTTTTTTGAGACGCAATCTCACTTCGTCACCCAGTTTGGAATGCAGTGGTGAGACCTCGGCTCATTGCAGCCTCCACCTCCCAGGTTCACGCAATTCTCGTGCCTCAGCCTCCTAAGTAGCTGGATTTACAGGCACCCACCATCACGCCCACCTAATTTTTGTACTTTTAGTAGAGAGGAGGTTTCTCCATGTTGGCCAGGCTGGTCTTGAACTCCTAACCTCAAGTGATCTGTCTACTTCAGCCTCCCAAAGTGCTGAGATTACAGGTGTGAGCCACCATGCCTGGCCGGGACATTCTATATGTGTGCGTATGTGTGCGTTTATATACATATGGTTATACACACACACACACACACACACCCTAAGCACTCACATATATAGTTGTTTCAAATTTTAAAAAATATAAATTTTGTATTTTTCTTTCTTTTTCTCACATTTGTGTTTCTATGACACCATATACATATTGAATTTTATAGTTCTATTTTATTCTTTTGGATTGCAGTTTAATAGTCCATACATAACTTTATCAACATGTAATTATCCACTCTTTTTATCATGGACATTTGTGTTGTTTCCGGATTTTCTCTTTTATAACTCGGGCCTTGATAATCGTGTTTCTGTGTGATCCCTTGCATACATATGCTGAATTAATTAGACATATTTACCTAGGAATGAAATTATTGGTTTTGGGTGCAAGTTGGTGTTGAGCTTAACCAGGAAGTGCCAAAATATTTCCATCATGACCAAATGTGGCCTGGAAAGTTTTTTGGGGTCAATTTTCCTGTTTCTTCTAAGGAACAAAATTGATGTCACTGATTTTTCTGTCCTGTTTGTCATTTATGAATATACGTACATATGCACGTATATATTTGCTTGCCATTTTATGTTTTTCCTCGACGTTACTTTGGAATTAATTTGCTGATGTGTAGTATTTCTGCAAGCGAAAGTTACCTATTTACTCAGCTCTTCCTTCTTTTCTAACACAGACATTTGAGGCTTATTTTCCTTTAACACTGTTCTATCTGTATCCCCAGTCATTTGCCGAGATGTGTTTTCATTTTTAATTGATACAAAATATTTTCCACCTTTCTTTGAAATGTTTTTCTTCCACTCATTGTTTATTGCTATGTGTGTTTATTAATTTTAAAATATTTGATAATTTCCCCAGCATTTCCTTGTTGTACATTTATAATTTAATTCAACTGTTTCATCTATCATATTACCTATGATTCAGCATTTAAAAATTTATTTTGGTGAATGTTCCAGGGGTGCTAGACAAGTTTGTGGATTAGGAAGATTTGAGGTGGATGTTTTCTAAATGTCAGTTAAGAAAAAAATCATTCAAATGTTTTTCTTTATTTAAAAAAAATAGAGACGGGGTCTCACTATGGTGCCCAGGCTGGTCTCAAACTCCTGGCCTCAAGTGATCCTCCCATTTTGGCCTCCCAAAGTGCTAGGATTATTGAAATTATTAAATGTTTCATATCAACACCCAACCTTATGCACCCGCCGCCTACACAAATGTTTTTCAAGTCTTTCATATGCTTAATAATTTTCTGTGTACTTGTTCTGGAAGTGAGGTGAATGTTGCTATCTCTAGCTGCAATTTGGATGTGATTGATTATGTTTTGAATTATGCCTTTAATTTAATGTGTTTTGAGGTTCCAGCTTTAGGTGTGTAGGCATTTAGGATTATTATGTCTTATTTATGAATTTGCCTCTTTGTCATTATGAAGTACTCCTCTTCATATCTCCATATATCTCTTCTTTGTATGTGCATGGTGAAATATTTCATTCTTTGAGTTAAGAAACTTCTATTGAGGAATACTTTTTATTACAAACATTTACCTATTCTATGTATACAACTGACTAGAAGCATATTTTGCACTGGGCATTATCATGACAATGTAATGTCATTCTTTCAATATTTACATCTTGTGGATTAGTATTTGAAGTGCAGCTTATGTAGACAGCATAAGGTTGGGTGTTGATATGAAACATTTAATAATTGCACACGTATTTGCCTCTTGGGATACTTCCACTTTTTTGAATTTCAAGTTACTAAATGGTATCATTAATCTTTGCTTCAAGAGCTTAACATTTATTGTAGAACAATGCTTCATGTAATAAATTGTGAGACATTTTTAATGGCACCTTTATTGCAGGAAAATGTTTTCCTTTTCAGGTTGAAAGATTCTAGTTTGAAATATTTTCTTGTAGCACTTTAAAAATGTTGGTCCACCTATTTCTTACTTTCATAGTTTTGAATACAAAGTTTGCTGTCATTCTTGTATTTCTTCTTCTGTTTTTTATTTATTTATTTTTGACAGAATATCTTGCCGTCTCACCCAGGCTGGAGTGCAGTGGCATGATCTTGGCTCACTGCAACCTCTGCCTTCCAGGTTTCAGCAATTCCTGCCTCAGCCTCCTGAGTAGCTGGGACTACAGGCATGCGCCACCATACCCAGCCAATTTTTTTTTTTGTATTTTTTTTTTGTAGAGATGAAGTTTTGCCATATTGGCCAGAACTCCTGACCTCAAATGATCCACCTGCTTTGGCCTCCCAAAGTGCTGGGATTACAGGTGTGAGCCACTGTGCTCAGGCTATTTATTCCTTTTTATATAATATGAATTCACATTCATACATACCAGGGGTTAGGATTTCAACAAACGTTTCTGGGGGAGACCACTCAAAACACAGCACTCATCCTTGGTTATTTCCAGCCATGGAGCCTGTATCAATATCCTGGTGAATTATCTAAGCTGTCCACCTACCTACCCCAAATCCTCATGGTCACATAAAAGGCTAGTATAGTATAATAATTTTTCTTTCCCTGCTTATCTACAGTGATGAAGAAACGAATATTCAAAGGGAAAAATCTTAGCTTTAGGTATAGGGTAATTCTTCTTCCTATTTTTAAATAACTTCAACCTTTACTGTAGATTAAAGGTATGCATGCAGGTTTGTTACATAGGCATATTGTGTGACTCTGAGGTTTGTGGTTCCAACAATGCCATCACCCAGGCAATGAGCATAGAATCCAACAGGTGTTTCTTCAGCCTATACCTCCCTACTCCTCCCCCCATCTGTAGTCCTCGGTATCTGTTGTTTCCATCTTTATGTTCATGTGTATTCAATGTTTGGTTCTCAGTTATAAGTGATAACATGTGGTATTTGGTTTTCTGTTCCTGGGTTAGTTCACTTAGGAGATTGACCTCCTGCTACATTCATGTTGCTGCAAAGGACATGATTTCATTATTTTTTATGGCCATGTAATGTTCCATGTGTATATGTAGCACATTTTCTTTAACTAATCCACTGTTGGTGAGCACTTAGGTTGACTGCAAATCTTTGCTATTCTGAATTGCACAGCAATGAATATACTAGTGCATGTGTCTTTTTGACATAGTTAATTACCTTCCTTTTGGTATATACCCAGTAGTGGGATTGCTTGATTGAATAGTAGTTCTATTTTAAGTTATTTGAGAAGTCTCCAAACTGCTTATCACATTGGCTGAACTAGTTAACATTCCCACCAAGAGTGTATAAGTGTTCCCTTTTCTCCACAATCTTGTCAGCATCTGTTATTAAAAAAAACAAAAAACTTTTTAGTAATTGCTTCTGCTTCTCTGATTGTTGTGAGATGGTATCTCACTGTGGTTTTAATTTGCATTTCTCTGATGATTACTGATAATAAGCATTTGTTCATATGTTTTTTGGCCATGTGTACATCTTCTTTTGAGAAGTGTCTGTTCATGTCATACTTAATTGAGGTTTTTTGGTTTTCTGCTTGTTGATTTGTTTACATTCCTTATAGATTCTGGATATTAGAACTTTGTCAGATGCATAGTTTGCAAATATTTTCTCCCAGTCTGTAGGTTATCTGTTTACTCTGTTGATACTTTCGTTTGCTGTGCAGAAGCTCTTCAGTTGAGTTAGGTCCCAATTTCTGTCTTTGTCACAATTGGTTTTGGGGAGTTAGCCATAAATTCTTTGCCAAAGTCTATCTTGAGAAGGATATTTCCTAGGTTTTCTTCTAGAATTTTAATATTTTGAGGTTTTACATTTAAATCTTTAAACTATCTTGGGTTAATTTTTGTATATAGTGAGAGTTAGGGGTCCAGTTCTATTATTTTGCATATGAGTAGTCAGTTATCCCAGAACTATTTATTGAAGAAAGGGTACTTTCCACATTGCTTGTTTTTGTCAATTTTTTCAAAGATGATTGTAGGTATGTAGCCTCATTTCTGGGTTCTCTATTCTGTCTCATTGGTCTATGTGTCTGTTTTTGTAGTAGTATCATGCTGTTTGGGTTACTATAGCATTGTAGTATAGTTTGAAGTTGGGTAATGTGATGCCTGGGCTTTGTTCTTTGTGCTTAGGATTCCTATGTGTATTCAGGCTCTTTTTTTGGTGCCAAATACATTTTAGAATAAATTTTTATAATTTCGTGAAAAATGACATTGCATTTTGAAATGGATAGCATTGAGTCTGCAATTTGTTTTTGGAAGTATGGCGATTTTAACTATTTGTTCTCCTAATTCATGAGCATGGAATATTCTTCCATTTGTTTGTATCATTTCTTATTTCTTTCAGAAGTGTTTTGTAGTTCTCCTTGTAGAGAATTTTCACCTTCTTGGTTAGATGGATTCCTAGGTATTTTATTTTCTTTGTGGCTAGTGTAAATGGAATTGTGTTCTTGATTTAGTTCTCAGCTAGAATGTTAGTGGTGCATAGAAATGTTACTAATTTGTGTACATTTTTTTAATCCCGAAACTTTATTGAATTTGTTTATCAGTTTCAGGAGCCTTCTGACAGAGTCTTTAGGGTTTTCTATGTATAAAATTATTTCATCAGCAAAGAGAGACAGTATCACTACTTCTTTTCCAATTTTAATGCCTTTTATTTCCTTCTCTTGCCTGATTGCTTTGGCTAGGACTTCCAGTACCATGTTGAATTAAAATGGCGGGAGTGGTCATCCTGGTCTTGTTTCGGTTCTCAAGGGGTATGGTTCCAGCTTTTGCCCATCAATATGATGTTGGCTGTGGGTTTGTCATAGATGGCTCTTAATATTTTGAGGTATGTTCCTTTGATGCCTATTGACAGTTTTTATCATGAAGGGATGTTGGATTTTACAGAAAGCTTTTTCTGCATCTATTGAGATGATCATATAGTTTTTGTTTTTAATTATGTTTATGAGGTGAATCACATTCGTTGACTTTGTAGGTTGAACCAACCTTGCATCCCAAAAATAAAGCTTACTTGATCATGTGAATTAACTTTTGATGCACTGACAGATTCAATTTGCTAGCATTTTGTTGAGGATTTTATGTCTATGTTCATTAAGGATATTTAGTTGTAGTTTTCTTTTTTTCATTATGTCTCTGACAGATGTTGGTATCATGGTGATGATGGCTTCATAGAATGAGTTAGGAAGAAGCCCCCACTCCTTGATTTTTTCCAAAAGTTTCAGTAAGATCGGTATCAGTTCTTCTTTGTATGGCTGTTGGATTTTGGCTGTGAATCCATCTGGTCCTGGGCTATTTTTAGTTAGTAGGGTTTTTATTACTGATTAAATTTCTGAACTTGTTATTGGTCTGTTCAGGTTTTCACTTTCTTCCTGGTTGAAATATGATAAATTTTGTGTTACCAGGAATTTATCCATTTCTTCTAGGTTTTCTAGCTTGTTTGTATAGAGGTGTTCATAATAGTCTTTGACGATCTTTTCTATTTCTGTGGGATTGTTCGTAACATTGTTTTGTCAGTTCTATTTGTGTTTATTTGGATCTTTTCTCTTTTTCTTTGTTAATCTAGCTAACAGTCTATGAATTTTGTTTATTTTTTTTCAAAGAAAAACTCTTGGTTTTATTTATCTCTTGTATGGACTTTTTGGTCTCAATTTATTCAGTTCTCTCTGACTTTAGTTATTTCTCATCTTTTGCTGGCCTTGGGTTTGGACTGTTCCTTTTTTTTAATAGTTCCTCTAGATGCAGTGTTAAGTCACTAATTTGAGATCTTTCTAAACTTCTGATGAGGCATGTATTGCTATAAATTTTCCTCTTATCACTGCTTTAACTGCATCCCAAAGGTTTTGGTAAGTTTGTTTCTATTTTTATTAATTTTAAATAATGTTTTGTGATTTCTGCTTTAATTTCATTGTTCACCCAAGAGTTCTCAAGGGGTACAGTTCCAGCTTTTGACCATTCAATATGATGTTGGCTGTGGATTTGTCATAGATGGCTCTTAATATTCATTCAGAAACAAGTTGTTAAATTTCCATGTTTTTCTGTAGTTTTGAGAGATCATCTTGGTATTTTTTTCTATTTTTATTGTGTGCCTTGTTATGATTTTGATTCTTTGAATTTATTGAGACTTGCTTTGTGGCCAGTCTTAGAATATGATATGTTTTTTGTGTGTGCAGATAAGAAGAATCTATATTCTGCAGTTGTTGGGTGGAGTACTCTGTAGATGTCTATGAGGTCCAATTGGTCAAGTGTTGTCTTTAAGACCAGAATTTCTTTGTTAGTTTTCTGTTTTAGTGATTCATCTGACGTTGTTAGTGGGATACTGAAGTCCCTTACTATTATTGTGTGGCTGTCTAACTCTTTTCATAGGTGAAGAATAACTTGTTTTATGAATCGGGGTGCTCCAAATTTGGGTGCATATATATTTAGAATAGTTAAGTCTTCTGTCAAATTGAACCCTTTATCATTTTGTAATGCCCTTCTTTGTCCTTCCTGATTGCTGTTGATTTAAAGTGTGTTTCATGTGATATAAGAATAGGAATGCCTTCCTTTTTTTTGTTTCCTGGTTGCCTAGTAAATATTTCTTCATCCTTTTACTTTGAGCCTGTGGGTGTCATTACATGTGAGATGGGTCTCTTGAAGACAGCAGGCAGTTGGCTCTTGGCTTTTTATCCACGTTGCCACTCTATGCCTTTTATGTGGGGAATTTAGGCCATTTACATTTCTTCTCCTGATATATCCTTTTTATATTTTTATGATTGCCTTTTAAAATATATTGAATGGTTGTAATTCCAGGGAAATGTCTTTCAGAACAGTATTTATTCCCATCTACATGTTTTGGAGAGTGCACTAGGGGACATTGAAGTTTATTTCCTGAAAAGAGTTTAATTTTAAAATGTATTTTATTTAATAACTCAATGATTCAGGGAATGTCTAGGTATTTCAGAGATTGTTTTAGACAGTTTGTTTTCTTGTGATATGTGACCACTTCATCTAAGCTGAATAATGTCTTCATAATGTCCACTTAGAATCTTTTGAATTCTGTAGGATCTGTACTGATGTCATTGTTTCCTTTCTGATATTGGTAATTTTCCTGGGGTAGGATTCTTAGCTCCTCCTGAGGTCCTGCCTCTAAAATTCAGGGAACAATGAGTCAGATTAGTACTCTGATTTCAAAGGGAAAGCTGATCATCTACCATTTTTTGTTTATGTAAATGGACACATTAACATCCCTTGTCTGAACCTTAGTTACCTTGTTTGGAGCATTTTGCTATAAATCTCACTTCTCAGAGTGGTTGTGGGGCTTGATGTGGCTGGGGTATGGGATGGCTTAAACATAATTTATTTCCAGACCAGGTTAAGGCATGAAGGGGTTGGGACTTGTTAGAATCCTGTTGTCGGACTCCACAGTAAGGGTAGACATTTGAGGCACCCAATCAAAAACCTCAGTTGTTCCTAGCACTGAGAAATTTGATAGAATGTTTCTAAAACATTATTCATGGTCTAATGCACAAAAAGTAAAGTGATAGCCCTGGAAGTAGACAGGGAACCATAAGAAAAAAGAGAGAGCAAAGCTCAGTGGTCACCAGTGCCTGGGACCATCAAGGGGTTATTAAGGAGGAAGTTTCCACCTCTGTGGGGAACAGAAGAGGCTCCCTAGGGTCCACACACACAGGGAGTGAGCCAAGACTCTGGGCGAGGCTGGAAGCTCTGGGTCTCCTTCTGTGAGATTTTCTTTTTTTTTTTTGAGATGGAGTCTTGCTCTGCCACCCAGGCTAGAGTGCAACGGCGCGATCTCGGCTCATGGCAACCTCTGCATAAAGTGGTATGTATTTAAGGCATGCATTAGACAAATTACTAAGTATTTACTAGATAAGAAAAAATTATATCTGAATCTTTTCAAATTGCCGTCTTATGCATTATATTCTCTTTTTATAGTGCAATTTCTTAATAGTTAATGCCAGAAGATTTTTTTTTCTTCCTTTCTTTCTTTCTTTTTTTTTTTTTTTTGAGACAGAGTCTCACTCTGTTGCCAGGCTGGAGTGCAGTGGCACGATCTCGGCTCACTGCAACCTCCGTCTCTCGGGTTCATGCCATTCTCCCGCCTCAGCCTCCTGAGAAGCTGGGACTACAGGCACCCTCTACCATGCCCAGCTATTTTTTTTTTTTTTTTTGTATTTTTAGTAGAGACGGGGTTTCACCATGTTCGCCAGGATGATCTCTGTCTCTTGAACTCGTGATCCACCTGCCTTGGCTTCCCAAAGTGCTGGGATTACAGGCATGAGCCACTGCACCTGGTCGCCAAAAGATATTTTTAAAAACCTAAATGCCACTTGAAATGAATAAGACCCTCAATAATTCATGGGATATACATGTGAACTTATGACATATGATGAAATAAGCAGGTTACAAAATTGTAATATATCAAGCAAGGTAGAAAGCCATGGCAGAAAAAGAGACAAGCATTTTCAAGATAAGGAATGAAAGAGGGGAAACAGTACTATTGATTTTACAGATTTTACAAAGATATCTTAGGTGTGTTTTCCTAAATAATAAATGTACCCTCCTTTTGACCTTTATGTAATGAAATAACCATGCACACATTTTCAAATAATACTTCATTTACTTGACTTTATGCTTGAAAATTGAAGTATGGTGCTGTTTGTTATTTTCATTTATGCATTTTACTACCTTGTAATATTCCACTGAGTCTATTTACCACACTATGTTTATTTTTTTCGTAGGTGGACTTTGGTATTTTATAGCTTTGGCTAATAGGAACAGCATTCCTATAACAGTTGTGAGTGTATCATGACACATAAGTAGACATTTATCTCTAGGGTACATAATTAAGTACATAATTAAGAAGGGTCACAGCCATGTGCCTCCTCTTTTTAACTAGATAATTCCAATACACTTCCTTAATTGATTAAAGCAATTTGTACTCTTACTATTAATGTACTAAAATTCTACATGTTCAATATTCTTTCCAAAAAATGATTTTGCTACTTTTTTCTTTTCTTGAGACTGAGTCTTGCTCTATCACCCAGGCTGTAGTGATCTCGGCTCACTGCAACCTCCGCCTCCTGGGTTCATGCGATTCTCGTGCCTTGGCCTCCCAAGTAGCTGGGATTACAGGCAGGCGCCACCATGTCTGGCTAATTTTTGTATTTTTAGTAGAGACAGCGTTTCACCATGTTGGCCAGGCTGGTCTCGAACTCCTGACCTCAGGTGATCCTCCTGCCTCGGCCTCCCAAAGTGTTGGGATTACAGGCATGAGCCACCACACCCGGCCTATTTTTTTCTTTTCCCTCCATTGTGCTATGATTTTTGACATTACAATTTTACTGAAACTACACCATAAGAATGAAGCAGAAATTATTATAACCTTTAAATAAACTTTACAACTGGTTCATACTCGTGTGAACGACAATTCTTTTGACTACTTCCCAACTGTGCATTCAATGGCGTCATATGGGCACCCTGAAGTTGGCCATAAAGGACGTATTTATACCACACTAATCAGCAAATACCATAAATCTGGGGCTTTATATGTTCAGAGTTTTCTTAAGAAAATAATTTTTTCAGAGAGCCAGTTTAACAGAATACCATGAGGCTGAGCCTTCGAGCGTTAGTGTGCTCATTCTGAGAGATGATATTTCTGGACAAAGTACACAGGTATCATCCGATGAAGAGTGAAGGGAATTCAGGGTCCAGAGAGGGTGCTAGGGCATCATTTCAGACTCATATTTCCCTTTTTTTTTTTTTTTTTGGAGATGGAGTCTTGCTCTGTTGCCCAGGCTGGAGTGCAGTGGCAAGATCTTGGCTCACTGCAACCTCCGCCTCCCGGGTTCAAGCTATTCTCCCGCCTCAGCTTCCTGAGCAGCTGGGATTACAGGTGCTCACTGCCACACCCAGCTAATTTTTGTATCTTTTAGTAGAGACAGGGTTTCACCATGTTGGCCAGGTTGGTCTCGAACTTCTGACCTCAAGTGATCCGCCCACCTCAGCCTCCCAAAGTGCTGGGATTACAGGTGTGAGCCACTGTGCCTGGCCTCAGACTCATGTTTCAAAGTCCCAAATACAAATCTGCCCACCTATTCCAGTTATTTAATCCAGATCTATGCTCAGAACTGAAAAGATGGAGAATCAATAGTTCACTTTAGAGAATGCGGTAGTTGGAAACAAAGACAAATGTATTACATGACAGTGGACCAGAGCACGTGATCGCAGGGGTGTGGATGCAAACCCACCATGGGGGACGTGCCTTCACATCACAGAGAGCGAAAGGAAGGGAGGGGCAGACACGGAGGATCCACAACAGCAGGACTGAAAGCACTGCCATTTAATGGAAGTTTAATGGAGGAAGCGTTCTCTACAGGCACCCAGACATCTTCCTGAACCTGACCCAAGCCTCCCCTTCTCGACTTTCTCAGTAGACGGTTTCCCGAATGATGGTCCAGACTTTCTTCCAGAACCTCCTAGGACTATCAGATTCATTGCCAAGGCTCTGGCACTCTGAAGGGTGCATTGTTCTCTCATGTATTTACCTCCTTGCTGCATCTTGGGGACTTCTCTAGCTGTGCCAGTCCTAAAGCAGCAGAATCCCGAGGACCACCAGGACCAAGCCAGCCACAGCCACGCGGATGAGATTCTCCACTGTGTAATCCTGGGGGTGTGAGGCTGGGGATGGTGGACCAAGAGGTCTCAGAGGTCAGGGCAGATCAACATCACCCGGGACCCCTGGATGTCCACCCAGGGCACCCACCTCCCCTTCACAGGACCTGACCCTCTGTGCCAGCCCCATAACCGAGAGCATCTCCTTACACACCAGTCTTGGAGTCTGTCTTGTTTTGCGATGGGCTGAGGGTCTCAGCTGCTCCTGAGAATCAACCAAAAAAGGGGGAGGTGTGTGAGGAGTTGAAGAGACTTAAGCCAACATGTCCCTCAGTTGCTGCATTCCTTTGTGTCTACACTTCTCCTAACTGCTCTGTAGTTGTGTGATAGAACCTTTCCCTGCCGTGGCAGAGGTACATTCGCATACATACATACATATATGCATAGGTGTAAATATGTGTGTATACATAATATGTGTTATGCATATGTGTATACATAATATGTATTATGCATATGTGTATAGATAATATGTATTATGCATATGTGTATGCATAATATGTATTATAAGATATAGTGTGAGTATATATAAATATATAATATATAAGATATATAATAGTGTGTGTATACATATAAATATATAATAAGATATGTAATAGTGTGTGCATATATAAATATATAATATATAATAAGATATATAATAGTGTGTATATATAAATATATAATACATAATATATTATAAGATATATAATAGTATGTATATATAAATATATAATACATAATATATAAGATATATAATAGTGTGTGTATATATAAATATATAATACATTATATATTATAAGATATATAATAGTATATATAAATATATAGTACATAATATATAATAAGATATATAATAGTGTGTGTATACATATAAATATATAATAAGATATGTAATAGTGTGTGCATATATAAATATATAATATATAATAAGATATATAATAGTGTATATATATAAATATATAATACATAATATATTATAAGATATATAATAGTATGTATATATAAATATATAATACATAATATATAAGATATATAATAGTGTGTGTATATATAAATATATAATACATTATATATTATAAGATATATAATAGTATATATAAATATATAGTACATAATATATAATAAGATATATAATAGTGTGTGTATACATATAAATATATAATAAGATATGTAATAGTGTGTGCATATATAAATATATAATATATAATAAGATATATAATAGTGTATATATATAAATATATAATACATAATATATTATAAGATATATAATAGTATGTATATATAAATATATAATACATAATATATAAGATATATAATAGTGTGTGTATATATAAATATATAATACATTATATATTATAAGATATATAATAGTATATATAAATATATAATACATAATATATAATAAGATATATAATAGTGTGTGTATATATAAATATATAATACATAATATATATTATAAGATATAATAATGTGTGGGTAATATAAATATATAATACATAATATATAAGATATATAATAGTGCATATATAAATATATAATACATAATATATATTATAAGATATAATAATGTGTGGGTATATATAAATATATAATACATAATATATATTATAAGATATAATAATGTGTGGGTATATATAAATATATAATACATAATATATAAGATATATAATAGTGTATATATAAATATATAATACATAATATATATTATAAGATATATAATAGTGTGTGAGTATATATAAACACATACATATATATTTGAAGTGAGAAGAGTATTATATAATTTAGAAACAAACAAGTTTGTCCTCCATTTTCTTGTGGTTAATGTAATTATTATCAATAAATCAGAAGAGATCATTTCGGAAAGGATTGAAAGGGAGTGTGTCTGTGGTAAGTTAATAGGAACTAAAATTAGCATACCCAAACCAATAGCTTTCTCATCCATACGTAACTAATTTTAGAAAATAGAAAGGAATCAAAGACTTTCAAATTATTCAAGTAGTAAAACAATGCTTAAAATTCACAATGTCCACAATTTTTATGAATACAACTTCAAGCATCTGCTAACTGTATAAAGTTTAATTTTAAATGTATTGGATACAAAGACATTATTAATGAGAAGTTATTCTCCATCATGAATGCACATATTTAATTTAATCCCAAAGAAAATCAGAGCACAGTTATTTTACATCATAACGCTACCTAACAAATTAAATGTGTAAATTATAAATGCCAGCATTGCTTTGAAATCTTCAGAAACAGAAAGAGAAACTAGATATGTGGACATAAAAAATAAAGGACAGAAAGGAATTGCACACGAGGTTTGCTGTTGAATAATTTGCCTGCATTGCTGCAGTGAGCAGGTGCATGATCTCCCCTTCGTCTCAGGTATGCACTGAGTATTTTGGGGCCGCCAGGGGAGCCCAGGTGGGGAGTGGGTGGGGCCTCCATCTTCTACCCTCAGCCTAAGCATGATTCCTCCAAGGTTTCTCCATATCTCATTTCAGCCCTCCCTGGCCTTTAGCCCCATCTGAGGTCTCTGGGGTGGGAGCCCAGGATTAGGAGGTCCCTGACTATTTCCACCCTCTCATGGGCTGGGCCCTCCCCTGCCGACCCTCCCCCTTTACTCCCCTCTTTCCTTAGCGTCCTGAGCTCTCCTGGGGGCAGGGCCTGAGCTGAGGTTTGAGCTCAGAGAGGACAGGGTCAGCGGCCTCACCTGAGACCACGAGCTCCAGGGGGTCACTGGGGTGAGACAGCAGGTAGGGGAAGAATCTGCGTGAGCTGTAGCACCTGTAGGTCCCCGCGTGGGCTGAGGTCACAGGACTCATGGGGAATTCAGCCTGGTGCTGCTGAGCTTGGTGCTCTGATCTCAGACGCAGTGGGTGATGGGCTGCCCCCTCCTTGGTCAGAAGGAAAGTGTCCAACTGCTCCCGTGACTGACACAGCAGGGTCACGTTCTCTCCTGAGGCCACCGTGGGGCCCGGCTGCACCGAGAGGGAGGGTCTGCCACGGATCTGTCCTGGAGAGAAGAAGGATGGGTGAGGGGCTGCCCCACCTCGTTCTGAGCTGACACCTCCCCAGGCCTCTCCCTGGGACCCTCAGTGTCTCTGTCTCTGTTTTCTCTGAGTCTCCCCCTCCCCGCCCATCCCCTGTCTCTGTCTGTCTCTCCGTCCCTTAGGACCCCCACCCCTCATCCCGGCCATCACCACCTGGGCTCCCCCAGCAGGGCCTGTGCGGAGCCTGGGTCCCTGACTGAACCTGCTGGGCTCCTCACCTGCGATCAGGATGCTCAGGGGGTCACTGGGGGCCGACCACTCGGAGGAGAGGTTGTGTGCACCGTAGCATCTGTACTGGCCCCCGTGGGAGACCCTCACAGGGCCCAGGGTGAAGTTGGCCTGGGAGAGCCCAGCCTGGGGCTGCCGGCCAGAGCCCTGGACGAGGTCATGTCCCCCCTCCTTGTACAGAGTGAATTTGTCATAGCCGACATCAGAGCCACACTGGAGGGTCAGATTCTCCCCAGGGGCCACGACAGGGCCCTGCAGGGTCAGGAGGGAGGGCTTCCTAGACACGCCTGGAGGGAAAGAAGAGTCGGGACTAGGAGGGCTGGTTCCTCCCACACCCCTTCCTTCTCCCCTCCTGGCCCTGCAGGTCTCACTGTCTCTCACACTCAGTGTCTCTGGGCTCAGGAGTCCCAAACTTCCCTTGTTCCACCCTCCTACATGGGGCTCCGTGAGAGTAAGTTCTCAAAAATAAATAGGGCAAGGAGGAAGACATCCATACCTAAGACCAGGATCTCCATGGTATCACTGGGTTCCGACCACACCCAGGGGAAGTTCGTGTAATGCCCATAGCATCTGAACATCCACCGGTGACTGGCAGCCACACGGCCCACAGGGAACAGGGCCAGGGACAAGGGACAGCCCCTTGGAGAGTTCCTGTGAGTCCAGCATCCAGGAGAGCTTGTTTTCTCCTTCCTCAATCAAAATGAACCTGTGAAATCCCACCCTTGAGCTACACTGGATGGTCACGTTCTCTCCTGAGGTCACCACAGGGCTCGGCAGGGCTGAGAGAGTGGGTTTTCTGTGGGCTCCTAGGAGAGAAGGAGACACTGTCTTAAATGGGGCTCACGCGTCCCACATCATCCCCCAGGGCTGAGTTATTAGAACGGAGATGCCCTTGAGAGCTGACCCCCTTCCTGCAGGCAGAGCCTGGGGCTGGGACCCCTGAGTGTCCTCTTACCTGTCACCACCAGCTCCAGGGGCTCGCTGCGCTCTGACCAGCCTGCAGGGCTGAGATAGTGACAGTGGTATCTCCCTGCATGGTGCTCTCTCATGGATGGGATGAAGAAGTTGGTCTTGTTCCTGGGCTCTGGTGGGCTCTGTTGGTACCAGGTCATGGGGTTTCCTTCCTTGGTGAGATAGTAACCCTGGGTATCCAGGGTCCCCTGGCACCAGAGGGTCATGGGGCTCTCCCAGGTAATCACAGAGCCTGGCTCAGCCCAGAGGCTGGGTTTGGGGAGGGTCCCTGGAAGAAACCACAGGCTGGGGTCCACAGACCTCCCCCGCTCCTCATTCCCAGCTCAGGTCACAGACCCTCTTGATTTTCTCACCCTCAGTTCAGAAGCCCCTGAGATGAGAGTCCAGGTGCTGAGTGTGAGGTCAGGCATGGGAGGTTAGCAGAGACTCACCTGCAAGTGCTTGGGCTTTCTGGCCCAGACTCAGCCATGGAGAAGAGTTTCCTGTGGGGGATTTGGAACACAGAGGTGTGGCTGCTTCCCTTCCTGTTGGAGCACCAGTAGCCACTGGAGCCCTGAGGCTCTCTGGTGAACAAGGCTGCTGTGGGACCCTCCCCACCTCAGCCCAGTGCCCCTCCTGTCCCTCGTCTCTCCACCACTGACTGAGGCACAGAAGAACAGTGAGGATGGACACCATGATGCCTGCTCTGCGTGCTCCAGCTGTGGGACAGGTGACCACATGGCCCTCCATGACAGACAGATGCACGGATGTGGTTAAGTCAGAGCCTGCTGCCGCCTGCCTGGGTCCCCACAGCTGTGAACCCACAGGAAGTGGACAGCCCCTTGCTGGGCCTGTCTCTTATTCCCCCCCCAGTGCAGGGGCTCAGGAGGACCCAGGCCCTCTGCACACATCTCAGCCCAGACCTGAGGTGTCCCCTGATTGCCAGGGATCCTTTGTCTGAAAACCTGCCCGTGGAGGGTGGACCCAACATCATATCTATGTCAGCTCCCAACTTAGCTGGGTCTAAACTGAAAACACAGCCCTTATTTTCTCAGAGCCTCCACTCATGACATCGGCTTTCTTTTTCCCCACTGATGCAAAGACAAATATTTCCCAGCAGAAAGTCATCCTGATCTGGAGAGACCCATTTCCTGCGTTCAGTAAATAAAGTCAGTTTCATTAGGGGAGGCTCTGGGAAAATAAGGGGATGCAGACTAGCAGAAGATGAACATTTAGCTACTTGTTTCTCAATTAATTGATTTATTACCAAAGAGAGAGAAGTGGAAACATGAGAATAGGGACCATGACTAGAATGTGGTTGAGGGAATGGTTTCTATCTTATTCCCTGGCAGAGAACTAAGGGATAAGAATGAGAAAGCTGGCTGGGTGCAGTGGCTTACACCTGTAATCCCAGCACTTTGGGAGGCCGAGGCAGGAAGATCACAAGGTCAGGAGTTCAAGACCAGCCTGACCAACATGGTGAAACCCCTGTCTCTACTAAAAATACAAAAACTAGCTGGGTGTGCTGGCATGCGCCTGTAATCCCAGCTACTAGGGAGGCTGAGGTGGGAGAATCGCTTGAACCTGGGAGGTGGAGCTTGCAGTGAGCCGAGATCGCGCCACTGCACTCCAGCCTGGGCAACAAAGCCGGACTGTCTCAAAAAAAAAAAAAAAAAAAAAAAAAAAGAAAGAGAGAAAACCCAGCAGTGAGAGGTAGTTGTGAGAACACACTAAAGAGGAAAGATAATCCAGGGCTGGGAGTGGTGGCTCATGCCTGTAATTCCAGCACTTTGGGAGGCTGAGGCTGGCAGATCACAAGGTCAGGAGTTCGAGACCAGCCTGACCAACATGGTGAAACCCTGTGTCTACTAAAAATGCAAAAATTAGCTGGGTGTGGTGGTGGGTGCCTGTAATCCCAGCTACTCAGGAGGCTGAGGTGGGAGAATCGCTTGAACCCAGGAGACGGAGGTTGCAGTGAGCTGAGATTGCACCACTGCACTCCAGCATAGGCAACAAAGCCAGACTCTGCCAAAAACAAAAACAAAAACAAAAACAAAAACAAAAAACAAGAAAGCTCAGTGAGAGGTGGTTGTGAGAACACACTAAAGAGGAAAGATCATTCAGGGCTGGGAGTGGTGACTCACGCCTGTAATCCCAGCACTTTGGGGGGCCACAGGCGGGTGGATTACCTGAGGGCAGGAGTTCAAGACCAGTCTGGCCAACATGGTGAAACCTCGTCTCTACTAAAAATACAAAAACTAGCTGGGTGTGATGGCGGGTGCCTGTAATCCCAGCTACTTGAGAGGCTGAGTCAGGAGAATCTCTTGAACCCAGGAGGCAGAGGTTGCAGTGAGCTGGGATCGTGCCACTGTACTCTAGCCTGGGTAACAGAGCAAGGCTCTGTCTCAAAAAAATAAAAATTAGAAAGAAAAAAGGAGAAGGAGAAGAGGAAGGAGACAGAAAGGAGAGAAACATCCCTGAGGTGGAACATTACATGCAACATGGAGTAGGCAGGGAATCCGATAGAGCACTGAAACTCTCGCTGGGTACGGTGGCTAACATCTGTACTCCCAGCACTTTGGGTGGCCGAGGTGGATGGATCACCTGAGGTCAGGAGTTTAAGACCAGCCTGACCAACATGGTGAAACCCCATCTCTACTAAAAATACAAAAGGCTGGGTGTGGTGGCTCACGCCTGTAATCCCAACACTTTGGCAGTCTGATACAGGCGGATCACATGAGATCAGGAGTTTGAGACCAGCCTGGCCAAGATGGCAAAACCTCATCTCTACTAAAAATACAAACATTACCTGGCTGTGGTGGCAGTCGCCTGTAATCCCAGCTATGCAGGAGGCTGAGGCAGGAGAATCGCTTGAACCTGAGAGGTGGAGGTTGCAGTGAGTCAAGATCGTGCCATTGCACTCCAGCCTGGCCAATAGGAGCAAAACTCCATGTGAAAATAAAATAAAATAAAATAAAATATAATAAAATAAAATAATAAATCAAAAAAGGACTGGACATCTCCTGTGGGTTGTCAGTGAATGGAACTAAGCAAGCCACCGCTCTTTCCCTTTTGTCCCGCAAGTGTCTTTCTTGGCCTCCAGGAAGTGAGTTCCATCATGTCAGACCCTATGTTTGTTCCTGCTGGGTTCACTGAGGCTCCTCCCTTTCCACCTGTGGCTCCCCATGGGTTCCCAGTCCCCAGCCAGTGTTGTGAATCGAGCCAGGAAGACCAGCCCTATCACACCCCTCCTGATGGAATTCCCACAGTGTCATCCTGGAGAACAGGGGCTGGGGGCTGGGGTAGGATCAGAGACCTTTTCATGTGGGCCAGGCCCCTCCCTCCACAGGAGCTCTGACACGAAGCTCATCACCATTCATTTCACCCTGACGATATTCTTCCTGCCCAGACACCCCCGTTCTCCCTATGTCATCATGGGCACCTCAGTGAAATCCATGGTTGAGGGTCTCTGTCACTTACTCTGCCCTCTTCTTGGAAAATTTCCTTGGATCCTTCCAGAGCCCTTCCTGAGTGTGCTGCAGGGTCTCTGCCACATGACACACTCTCAGGAACCCTCATCCTCCCCTTAATCTACTGCGCCCACATAGCCAGGTGCAGGCTCCGTTTCTTCATCTTCCCTTCCCCACAGGCCCCGATGGAGAGTGGATTAGACTCGCTCCTGAGTAGGGACTCAGGTCACTCTGACCCCTTCCTCCCTGTGGACGAGGCCTCTGTCCCAGAGCTTTGGAGGCTGAAGGGCCTTGTGGATTCCCGCACTGGCCACAGTCTCCGATGCAGATGGGGAACTGGGGACCTGGGAGGGGTTGCCTAGCCCAAGGCCACATAGCTGGGCGGTGGCACAGCCTTCACTCACACAGGGACATTCCATCTTCCCAGGGACTTCACACTGGAGGCTAAGAGCCCCACTTTGCACACCACATTCAGGGGTAGATTCTGTGTGTGACTAACAAGTTCTCTTAGGGTTCCGAGGTAACAGGACAGCAAATGGATGAGTGAGAGTTTCCCTCACCCCACTGAAGTAGGACCATTCTCTGTGGAGGGTTGGTCCCCTGACTTCCTCTACTCTGTCATCTCCCTAGTGACTGATAGGGGTCCTGGGGTCTCTTCCCTGGAATCCCATGAGGGACAATTCCTTTCCTGAAGGGAAGGTATAGAGAGGACTAGCAGGTGCCTGGTGATGGAAAGTCCCCATAATCAAGAGACATTGCCTCCCCCCCCCGGCATGATAAATATCTGGGTTTCCAAATGGGAAATCTGTCTGTGATGAGAGCTCAGGAGGGGCTTCTGGAAGATGGAAAAGGGCTAGAGGCTGAGGCCACTGCTTATCTCCCCACACTGTATCTGGCTTCACCTCCTGTGTTTGTCCTGACCTCTTCCTTCACTCACCTGGATAAGTAGGACCCCAAAGTGGGCCTCCAGACAGGAAGCAGTGGAGAGTGTGGAGCTGCCCTGTCTACCACCCTACACCCTGACACCACTGTCATACTCAACCTCTCTTTTCCTCTTTGTGTTTCTCATTGCTTCATTTTGTCTGGAATCCCTAAGATTCCCATGTCTCCAGCAGGCTGTCCCTCAGACGTGGCTATATGATTTAGTGTTTCACAGGGCAT
Source organism: Homo sapiens (assembly GCF_000001405.40). NCBI lineage: Eukaryota > Metazoa > Chordata > Mammalia > Primates > Hominidae > Homo > Homo sapiens. The sequence goes on from NT_187643.1 coordinate 164,816, forward strand.
GCAGCAGGCATGGGCTACCCCCAGTAACAGTGGTCATCTAGGGCTGATCACTCACAGGCAGAGCCATCGACAGAGAGCTGCAGCATCTAGAGGTCCCATCACCAGCCCCAAGACCCAGAGAGAAGTTGGCCTGAATGCCCCACTCTGTCTCTGCACCCCAGTGAGCCAGTGTCCAGGGGCCTTACCTTCCTCGTTAGAAGGCACAGGTCAAATGAGCTTCCAGAGCTGCAGAGCAAAGTCACATTCTCTCCATCATTACTTACTGCAGGGCACAGTTGAGCTGAGAAGGAAGGTCTCTTGTAGACGCCTGGGGAAAAAAATAGTCCTTGACTGTCGAGCACAAGCCTTACCCAGCCTATCCTCAGGGCATGAAAAAGGCATTCTCTCCACCTGTTCTGGGGAGCACACTCTGTTACCCACTCGTGCCTCTCTCCATCTCAGTTCTAGCTCTACAAGCTGGCTCATCATGTGTGTGTTTTCCTGTCTGTCTTTGCTCAGCTTTTCCTTGAATCTCTTGCTTTTTGCCGGTGCGTGTGTGGCTTTCTGCCCTTAGAACCATATGAGATTTAGGGTTCTCCTGGCACATAGAACTGTTTACTTTGAGGACCCTCAGAAAACATAGCCCTGGGCTAAGGCTCCCTGTCCTGGAACTAGAAGGTTATGGGTGTCACCATTTCCCAACAGCATGTCTGAAAGTGCCAGAATCTTCAAAGAGTCTGCAACATGTTTGTAGGATCTTTATAGGGTCTGATATTGCAGGGACCAACCAAAGTGCCCTCACACCCCAAGACGCTGGAAGTGACCCCTTGCTGAAAGTGGTTGGAAGTTTCACATAGAAGTTTGAGTTAAGCCACATTGCTGAGCAATGCCTCAGCATCCCAGTCTTCATCCAGACCTTCCAGGAGCCTGGCTGGAGGGGGTGTCTCTGGTGTGTCACTGAGCCTTATAGCAGAGGAAGGGGGCTATGGTGGAAACTACCTCCAAGATACCACTCAGTCCTAAGCTGGGGAACAAGCTGAGCTTGGATTCTGGTAGTGAATGAACCGGGAAACATTTATTTGAAGGGTTCTAAGAGTAGCATCGTGTGGGTGCGTTAATTGTATGTGAAGGGGAAGATCCTGAGAAAACAAGAGCTGCTCCACTCTGTGCCTGGGTTTACCAGAGGGACCGATGAGGTCCTCACAAGACCCAGGAATCCCACCGGGGGAAGGAGGCTTAGGGAGATGTGTTTAAGACTGTTAAGTGAGTCACAGACAGAAGCAGATCAAGCCATCCCACCACCTAGGTTTGTGGTTTTGTTTCTCCTAAACTTCCTTTCTGTAAGTAGCAGAACCTTCTCATCACCATCCTTCAAAACCTCTGCATTGTTTGAGCTCCTTGTATTTTCTGGAGATTAATCTCTTGCTTGCAAATATTCTTTCCCATTCTGTAGGTGGTCTCTTCACTCTGCTGTTTGTTTCCTTGATTGTGCAGAAGGTTTGCAGTTTGCTATGATCTCATTTGCCTATTTTTGCTTTTGCTGCCTGAGCTTTTGAGGGTTTTTTTTTTTTGTTTTTTTTTTTGAGACGGAGTCTCGCTCTGTCACCCAGGCTGGAGTTCAGTGGCATGATCTCAGCTCATTGCAACCTCCGCCTCCCGGGTTCAAGTGATTCTCCTGCCTCAGCCTCCCTAGTAGCTAGGACTACAGGCGAGTGCCACCACACCCGGCTAATTTTTGTATTTTTAGTAGAGGCAGGGTTTCACCACGTTTGGCCAGGCTGGTCTCAAACTCCTGACTTCAAGTGATCCACCCACCTTGGCCTCCCAAAGTGCTGGGATTACAGGCGTGAGCCACTGCGCCCGGCGTTGTATTGGATTTTTAATTCAGCCCTATTTTCTCCGACATTTGATATTGGCATTTTTGTCTTTTTTGGATATGCTAGGATCATGGTGTCATAATTTAATTTTAATTTTTATTTTTATTTTAAGTTCCGGGGTACATGTGCAGAATGTGTGGGCTTATTGCATAGGTCAATGTGCGCCATGGTGGTTTCCTGCACCTGTCAACCCATCACCTAGGTATTAAGCCCAGCATACATTAGCTATTTTTCCTAATGCTCTCCCTACCCCTACCCCACCCCCCCCCCGACAGGCCCCAGTGTGTGTTGTTCCCCTCCCTGTGTTCACGCATTCTCATTGTTCAGCACCCACTTGTAAGTGAGAACATGCAGCGTTTGATTTCCTGTTCCTGTGTTAGTTTCCTGAGGATAATGGTTTCCAGCTCCATCCATGTCCCTGCAAAGGACATGATCTTGTTTCTTTTTATGGCTTCATAGTATTCCGTGGTGTATATGTCTCACATTTTCTTTATCCAGTCTATCATTGATGGGCATTTGGGTTGATTCTATGTCTTTGCTATTGTGAATAGTGCTGCGATGAACACATGTGTGCATGTATCTTTGCAATAGAATGATTTATATTCCTTTGGGTATACGCGCAGTAATGGGACTGCTTTTACCTGTGCCAAAATACTGAAGTAGAAATGATTATTCACTCTAAAATGGAAGGTAATAAGATGTATACGTGAGCTATCAGATGCCTGGTGCTTATGAGTGAAGACAAGTCTGTCCAACGCTTCCCAACCCTGCATTCAGGGATGTCTCGTTGGCATCTTGATTATGGCCATGAAAAAAGAATTTACGTCAAGGAAATTGGTAAATGCCACTAATCATAGCATTTCAAAAAATGTCTTTTTCAGAATTAGCATACCATTGGGTCGTGACTTCAAATGCCAGTGTGTTGATTCCAGGTGGTGATATTTCAGGAGAAACTACACAGATAGCATCTGATAAGGAGGGAAGAGCTCATAGGGTCCACACAGGAGGTGAGGGCATCACGGTGCATTTATCTTTTCCTGGTCGGACTCTGATCTTCTCCCGTTGAATTAGTTCCTAAACCAGGTGCGGAACTCTGAACTGAAGACATGAAGACCCAGTAAAGTACACCAGGAAGTGTGGCAATGAGAAATGAAGAGGACTGTGTGACACGCCATGGACCAGAGCATGCAGGTGTGCAGAGGTGTGGACCCAACGCTGCCATGTGGGATGGAGCCTCATGTCTAAGTGTGGGAAAAGAGGCAGATCCAACCAAGGAAAGTCAACATTAATGGAGAGGAAAGGTATCACATTTTAATGGTTCTCCATGGATCACCCCAGAAAATGTCCCTGCACTCGGACATTGATTCCTTCCTCTGGAAATGACCAGCAGACAGTCCAGATAGCATCGGCCCTAGATTTTCTTCCAGAACCTCCTGGGATCATCAGATCTGTTCCTGAGGCTTCACGACTCTATAAAGTACATTATCCTCTCTGCTGTTCACCTCCCGGCTGCATCTTGGGAAGCTTCTCTGGCTGTGCCAAGCCTCAAATGACAGAATCCCGAGGACCACCAGGATCAAGCCAGCCACGCCCATGTGGATGAGATTCTCCACTGCGTAATCCTGAAGGTGTGAGGCTGGGGATGGTGGACAAAGAGGTCACAGAGGTCAGGGTGGATCAGATTGTCCACCCAGGGCACCCACCTCCCCTTCACAGGACCCAACCCTCAGTGCCAGCCCCATCACTGAGAGTATCTCCTCACATACCAGTCTCAGAGTCAGACTTGTTTTGTGATGGGCTGAGGGTATCAGCTGCTCCAGAGAATCAAAACAGAGAAAAAGAGACCTGAGCCCAGCCTCTCACCTGGGCTCTGCAATTTTTTTTTTATTACTTAATGTCTCATGATGTGACTTTTACAGAATTTCTAAAAAAAAAAAAAAAAAACCTCTTCCTCCGCTAGCAGGATTCCCTCTAGTCTCCTCATTGAACGATTTCAGTTTTCCTGTGTTCTATGGATTTAAACATTGCTCCTGAGTCATCTGGGAGAGAGTTTTCCTGCATCCTGAGAGCTCAGGATCTGCAAGGAAAGTGGTCCCCAGTACAGAGGTCACTAAGGCCTGTGTGCTCTCTGTGCAGCCTGGGACACAGGAGAACATGAGCCAACTCCCCCGGAGATGAGAGTTTCACGGATCCACCAGCTGAGGACCCAGGCTCCGTGGATGAGGGTTAGTCATCAGGGGAGCCTCAATGTCAGAAGCACAAAGGGGTGAAATTCTGGGGCTGCCTCCCCTTCATGCCCTCAGCCACTTCACCTGGAGTTTCATTGTCCATTTAATCTCTAGGTAGCTAATTATTCGTATAGGCAGCAACAGGTAGAATGTGATACACACACAGAAAAACACAAACACAAATATATATCTGTTTTATATATATAGTGGGCCTTAAAAACTATCTCTGCCTTCTTGAAGTGTGGGTTCACCTGGAGACAAACAGCAAACATATAGAAACACAGCAGTGGAAATTTACTAGTCGTAGCAATGGTTTTAGATATATTGGTAGAGACCTATATTTATGTGTGAATATATATTATTTGTATAGATATACGGATAACTAGGTTTCAATGTCACGTAAGATGTTGGTGTGACCACACACGCGCACACACACACACACACGTATATGCAGAGAGTGGAAGAGAGAGAGAAGGAATTCAGCCGCATGGTGTAGGTTGGTTAATTACTTGACATAAATGAGAAGCAGGCAGGACTGGGCTGAGCTGTGTCGTCAGTGAAGGTCACACTTGGAGGTGACATTGAAGCTGATTCCTCAATAGGAAAAAGGGCCAGGAAGGAGGCGTGTGGAGACCCAGACAGGGAGCAACAGAGGCTCCAGAAAGAGCAGGTCCCAGAAAGGTCTCAGCCTGTTCTTCAGAAAGGAATGGCCGCTTGTCTACAGGGTGGAGGAGGAGGCAGAGGAGGAGGGGAGATGAGCTTCGGGGCCTTGGTGGATTGAGAATAGGCCAGGATGAACCGGCCAGGAAAGAGCGGCCCCAATATCTCTCTCTCTGTCTCTCTGTCTCTGTCTCTGCCTCTCTCTCCCTCCCTCTGAGGTCTGGAAAGTGCTGTAGGGTTTCAAGGAGTGGTACCAGTCATTTGACTTTTTCTGAAAAGATAAGCCCTACCCCCTCCATAGCAAATGTCCAGAACGAAGGAAGTCCACATTTCTACCTGAAGTTTACAAAACCTCAGGGAGCACGTGAGATCAGGGCTATTACGAAACCGGGTGAGAATAAAAATAGGTGATGCTGCAAATCTACTTTCACCAGCTTGGACAAAAAGGCCAATATGAGATTTTAAAAACCCAAATAAAAAATGTCAACGGCGCAGAAGAGGAGCGGTGCACATTCCCTGAGCTGCTGCGGGAGCACGTGCAAGTCCCTGTGAGGCTCAGGTGTGCGCTGAGTGCTGGGGAGGCTGCAGGGGAAAGCAGGAAGTGGGGCGGGGTGGGGGGGGGTCGGGGGTGGATGCAGGTGGCACCGGCAGCCTGGATGCTTCTCTCTCCAGGAGGGCGTCTGTTGGGGACTGGGACACAGAGGCTCTGATTCTGAGGTGGAGACACCAGGATGGGAGCAGGTGGGGCCTCCGTCTTCCACCCTCAGTCTAATCTCAACTCCTTTGAGGTTCACCCCCCGTCTCCTCCCAGCCCTCCCTGCACTTTACTCTACTGAGACTTCAGGGGTGGGAGCCAGGGGTGGGAGGTCCCTGTCTATTTCCATCTTCCCATGGGCTGGACCCTCCCCTGCGGACCCTCTCCCTTCACTCCCCTCTTTCCTTAGTGTCCAGAGCTCTGCTGGGGGCAGGGCCTGAGCTGAGCCTTTGAGCTCAGAGAGGACAGGGTCAGCGCCCTCACCTGAGACCACGAGCTCCACGGGGCCACTGGGGTGAGACAGCAGGTAGGGGTCGGAGCTGAGTGAGCCGTAGCACCTGTAGGTCCCCGTGTGGGCTGAGGTCACAGGACTCATGGGGAATTC